>NC_000015.10:86895823-87047338 GCF_000001405.40 Homo sapiens
CTCAAGTTTTCTAAGATTTGCCCTGCTTTATTGATGTTTATTATGATGTATTTACTTATGAACTTCATATATTTCCTATTTTTTTCTGGTTTCTAGAGTATTTCTTGAAGATGATCATCTTTCAACTGGTATCTTTTTAAATATTATCTCTTACCCATTTACCCTAAACACGACTTTTAAAAATTCCTTCTTGTTTCTTATCTTTGCTGAACTGTGTCTGTGACATTTAACCATTCTATTAAGCTTTTTGTTAAAATGTTTTTTCATTTAGAGAAAAGGCTGTTTAATATTTAAATCTACCTTTTTTCCCAAAAAAATCTTTTTCTTTCATTATGTTTCGAGAACTTATTCTAATTTATTAATTATTTCAAATATAACCATTCTATAGTCTTTTCCAAATGGGTCATAATATTTCAAGTTCGTGAGTGTCTGCTTTTGCTGCTTTTCGTATCTGCTGAGTCTTGTTCAAGGTGGATTATTTCCTCATTTGACTTATGATTTGTTATTTTGAGTGTATCTTCTGCAGGCTGTAGTCTTCACCCCCTCTCAGGAGAGTTCCATATACCCTGGGTTTAAAAAAAAAAAAATACCTGCATGGTAATTTTGTATTTGTTTCTGATGGGGGCCTCAAGTTTTCACCAACAAGAATTACATGGTTTGTGATTCACAATGTAATTGTGAACTCTACATCTGTGTAATCTATGATTTCTATATTTTGTCAACATTTTCCCCCTTCTGGTAGTTAGGTTTTCTAACTTTGTTGCGTTGCTAACATTACTTTCCCATATTTAAATCTCTATTTTTTGTTTCTTTTTTAAAATTAGCATATTGTCTATTGACTTCTGCTGTAAAAGATAAATTATTCCAATATGCATTTTCTTTCTCATGCATATGTTCTTATTTTTATTAGTTATAGCATCACCTTTCCATTGACAAGATTGATAGCATTTATATTCTCTTTTGTAAACATCATTTCCAGATTATCCTTAGTTATATGTTTATTATAACATAGTTCTGTGCTCATCAACACTTCTCTGACCATGCACTCCCCATTTGTGAGATCTTCACTATATCAATCTTTGGATTTCCTAGACTTTCTCAAGTAGTGTCTCCCTCTACCCACTACATGCACATTCCTAAGGAAAGCAAATAGCTTTTATATTTCTTGAGGTCTTGCATGTTAGACAGTGTCTTTCTTTTGCAAAACAATTTGGCTTTTTAGAAAATTATTTAGCCAGATTTTAATTTTCTTTTGGCCTTTTCTGTCATTAGGGACACTGACTCCACAGTAGAGAACATTAAAATCAGTCTATGTTTCTCACTTTAGAAGACTTATTTTTCTACTTACATGCTTATATACTTTTTTCCTTTATCTTTGAATTTGAAACTGCTATAGTGCCTTACATGTTTCTCAGCTCCAAGCACCCTCTTTGACATAGAGACAGTATTCAGTGTTGCAGGATTGAATGGATGATTGAATAAGTAAGATTATATGTTGCTGTGGATCATTCAGTCTATTCTTATTTCTAGTGTATATGATGCACCATTTTGAGCTACAAGTAAGTTTTTCTGTATATGAGATTTTTTTCTATTATATCTTTAAACTATATATTTTCCCATTACATTGATCCTTTATTGTTTTACTTTCACATCTATTATCTTCTCTCCTATTAACTTCTTTCTTATATATTTGAATTGTAACTTTCTCCCCTACATTGGTTTTTCAATGTTTCTTTCATATTTATTACATTTTTCTTATTCCTTGGATATGTTCAGTATGTTTTATGTAAACTTCACAACTCTGATTTTCTTGTCACTGATTTTCCCCCCAGTGGTTTCCACCCTAATTCTTGTTGCTTCAAATGTGATTATGGTTTCCATAAATTTTAATCACCTTTTTTTTTCTTGAACTATGATAATTTACTCCTTTCATCTTTTATCTTTTTTTTTTTTTTTTTTTTTTTGAGACAGGGAATCACTCTGTCACCCAGGCTGAAGCGCAGTGGCACAAACTCAGCTCACTGCAGTTTCGACCTCCTGGGCTCAGGTGATCCTCCCACCTCAGCCTCCTGAGTATCTAGCTGAACTACAGGCACGTGCCACCATGACTAGCTAATTTTTGTATTTTTTGTACATGTGGGGTTTTGCCTTATTGCCCAGGCTGGTCTTGAACTCCTAGGCCCAAGTGATCTGCCCACCCACACCTACCGAGTGCTGGGACTACAGGCATGAGCCACTGCACCTGGCCCTGAATAAAATATTTGATAAATAAATTATTAAATGAATGAAGAAAGATGCACAAAATAGCAGGAAAAAACTTCTCCAGAGTTTTATTAAAGCACCAGAATAAATACACATTTTTGGGAAATTTAGTATTTTATTCTTCAACTCTGATCTGCTGTCTAAAAAGTAGCTTGACTGTGTTTGGTGTCTTTGTCATGAAATCTTTTCTGATTCCTGTGTCCAGGATGGTATTATTGCCTAGGTTGTCTTCCAGAGTTTTTACAGTTTTGAGTTTTACATTTAAGGTTTTAATCTATCTTGAGTTAATTTTTGTATATAGTGTAAAGAAGGGGTCCAGCTTCAATCTGCTGCATATGACTAGCCAGTTATCTCAGCACAATTTATTGAATAGGTAGTCTTTTTCCCATTGCTTGTTTTTGCCCACTTTGTCAAAGATCCTAGATGAAGGTCTTAGATGAAACAAAATAAAAAATGGACAACTGGGATCTAATTAAACTTAACAGCTTCTGCAGAGCAAAAGAAACTATCAACACAGTAAACAGAAAATCTACAGAATGAGAGAAAATATTTGCAAACTATATATTTGACAATAGTCTAATATCCAGCATCTATAAGGAACTTAAAGAGGAAAACAAACAACCCTATTAAAAATGGGCAAAGGACGTGAACAGATACTTTTCAAAAGAAGACAAATAGGTGGCAAGTAAGAATATGAAAAAAAAAGCTCAACATCACTGATCATTGAAGAAATGCAAATCAAAATGACAATGAGATACCATCTCGCACCAGACAGAATGGGTATCATTGGAAAGTCAAAAAATAACATTTGCTAGCATGGTGGTGGAGAAAAGTGAACACATATACTGTTGGTGGGAGTGTAAATTAGTTCAACCATTGAGGAAAATACAGTGGTGATTCCTCAAAGAGCTAAAAGCAGAACTACCATTCAACCCAGCAATTCCATTCCTGGGTATATACCCAGAGGAATACAAATCATTCTACCGCAAAGACACATGCACACGAATGTTTATTGCAGCACGATACACAATAGCAAAGACATGGATTCAATTTAAATGCCCATCGATGATAGACTGGGTAAAGAAAATGTACATATACACCATGGAATACTATGCAGCCGTAAAAAAGAATGAGATCATGTCTTTTGTGGGAACGTGGATGGAGCTGAAGGCCATTATCCTCAGCAAACTAAAGCAAGAGCAGAAAACCAAATACCACGTGTTATCACTTATAAGTGGGAGCTAAATGATGAGAACTTTTAAACCCAAAAAGGAAACAACAGACACTAGAATCTTTGAGGGTAGAGGTGGGGAGGAGGGAGAGGAGCAGAAAAGAGAACTATTGGGTACTGGCTTAATAGCTGAGTGATGAAATAATTTGTACAACGAACCCCCATGACACAAGTTTACCTATGTAACAAGCCTTCACAAGTACCCCTGAACCTAAAATAAATGTTAAAAAAGTAGCTTGAAATTCTTTATTTCAAAATCTTAAAATTCTTTAAAATTTATATTTGATAATACTTATATATATTTATTGGGTATATCAAGTCTTGATTTGTTCTTCATTTTACCTCACATGAAGACAATTCATCTGAATTAGTTGTGCATATCATGGAAAAATGATCCTGGCCTGACCTCCCTTCAGTCCTAGCCAGGCACACTGTGCTTTGGTGATACATTGCAGCCTGATGCATATTGTGATGCATATTGTGAGTGTTAACTTGATTGGATTGAAGGATGCGACATATTATTCCTGGATGTGTCTGTGCGGGTGTTGCCAAAGGAGATTAACATTTGAGTCAGTGGACTGGGAGAGGCAGACCCACCCTCAATCTGGGTGGGCACCATCTAATCAGCTGCCTGAACAGCTAGAATAAAGCAGGCAGAAGAACATGGAAGGACTAGACTGGCTGAGTCTTCTGGCCTTCATCTTTCTCCCGTGCTGGATGCTTCCTGCCCTTGAACATTGGACTCTAAGTTCTTCAACTTTTGGACTCTTGGGCTTACAGCAGTGATTTGCCAGGAGCTCTCGGGCCTTCAGCCACAGACTGAAGGCGGCACTGTTGTCTTCCCTACTTTTGAGGTTTTGGGGACTCAGACTGGCTTTCTGGCTCCTCAGCTTGTGGATGGCCTATTGTGGGACTTCACCTTGTGATCATGTGAGTCAATTCTCCAAATAAACTCCCCTTCATATATCCATCTATCCTATTAGTTCTGTCCCTTTAGAGAACCCTGACTAATACACGTATGTTTCTTACTTTTCCTAGTTTCATCCCAGGAATCTAAGATTCCTCAGAGAGATTTTTGGTTGATCTTATCAGAATGCTTAGTAATTTTCAGAAAACTCCTCAGCCTGCTTGACAAATGGGAAAATAATTTATCCATTCTTAGTTCTTTCTTTTAATTTTCCAAACTTGAGTATATTTAGCACATATTTTTCATAGTCTATAGATTGAGGTTAAGGCCAATTTCTAACTTCAGTGTAATTGATTTTTTTGGACTTTTATTTTTTGAGAGTTCAGAAAAGATAATCGAGTATCTTATATCGACTATCTTATATCAGAATTTTTTTTTTTTTGCTTGTGTATTCTTCCTTCTATAAACAATGCTAGAATGAACTTCCTGGTATACAAAATAAATATCTCTGCCCAACCTTTTTACTGATAAGATGTTGAATATCTGGGTGAAAGATTGTGTCTTCTTTAAAGCTTTTGATACTTCTTGCAGATTACTTTCTGGAAAGACTGTGCTACCCTTCAGCACTTGCAAAGCTATCAGTTTACCTGGACCCTCTCTAATGCAACACTTAACAATCTTCTCACATATTTAGTGTCAATTTTATACATGAACAGTGACATCCCATTATATTAGCTATTCTTATTTTACTTAGTGTAAACCTCACTTTTTAATGTTTTCCTCATTTTTTAATCCCCATATTCTTCATTTATAAGTTTTCTCTTCATACCCCTGATCATTTTCCAGTGGTGAGGATTTTGTTTGAGTCCAGGTTATAAGAATTCTTTAAATAGTCCAGATAATGACCATTCGATGGTTTTCCACATTGCAAGACTTTTCTGGTTTTTTATATGGCTTTCAAATATGTTGACTAGGTTTTAGATTTCTGTTTCATTTCTAAAAGATTTTTTTAAAGAGTTCAATTGCCTTTGGTGTCAAATTTAGAAAGAATTCCATCATAAGTTTTAGAAAACATTAATTGTGTTTTCTTTTGATATTTTCATAATGTATTTTCTTAATATTTTCAAGCCATTTAGAATTACATTTTTATCATGGTGTGAGATAGGGTTATAACTTGATTTCATGCCAAAATTGTTGCAGGTGCTCTATTTGAAAAAAACCCTCTTATAGTGTAATAGTTTGTATACATAATGGTGTCTTCATTTCCAACTTTCTTTTCTATTGCACTATATTTTTATTTCTTCAGCTTTACTATATTTTGTTAGACCAACTTATAAAGAGTCCTAAGACAAATAGAGCAAGTAACCCCACATTACCCTTTCTTTAAATAATTTTTTCTTTGAACCCAATTCCATGTTTTTGTTGGTGATTTGGTCTTCTAGTTACATTTCAAACAATTTCAAAAATTTTTAATAATTGAATAAAATATTTACTTCAAAATAGTTTATAATTTTCTTTGTATGCATTTAGGTGTCACTTTATGACCCACACTGAAATTTGGTACTTTTTTCATGTAAACCTACATAGTTTTTATTGCTTTTATGACTAAGCATTTTATATATGTTTTTTCTGTTGTGGATGAATTTTTTTTAGTTGTTACATTAAAGTTTTAGCTGGTTAATGTTCAAACAGCAAAACTATTAATATCAATATTAATAATAATACATTTATTCTTGTGGCTGAGTCGTTTTTCCTGGTATGCAGGTCCCACAGTTCATTCACCATTCACCTATTTTTGGACATTTTGATGTTTCCAGGTTTGGGCTATTACAAATCAAGCTGCTGTGAACTATCATGTGCAGGTTTCAGTGTGGACATAAGTTTTTATATACCTGGGTGTAATGTCCAAGAGTGTAATTGTGGCATCGTTTTACAAAGTATGCTTTGAGTTTCTAAAGAAACTAACAAACTACATTCCAGAACAGCTGTACACTCATACCAGGAATGTATTAAAGATCTGGCTCATCTATCTCCTCTCCAGCATTTGGTATAATGACTATTTTAAAATTGTATTTCTTTTTATAGGTGGGCAGTGATATCTCATTATAGTCTTAATTTGCATTTCCCTCACAGTTAGTGTTGTTGAACATCTTAAATATTTATATAATATAGTAAAAAACACCACACAATTTTATAAATTTTAATTCAGCTGTCAAACATCATCTTAAAAACTTAGGAAAAGAAAAATCTATGTATTTGCTCATATTTTTACTCTTTTGTTGCTTTTTTCTGCCTGCTTGTGTTAAAAATTTCTTTTTATTATTTATGTTTAGAGAGTTTCCTTTAACCATTCTTTTAGGGTAGATCTGTTACCAAAAAATTATCAAAAATTTACTTCCCATGAGAATGTTTTAAGTTTCCCTTCATTCTGGAAGGATATCTTTGCTAGTTTTAGAGTGTTAGGTTGTCAGTTCTTTGCTTTCAACACTTGAAAAATGGTGTGCCATTTTCTTCTGGCCTCTATGGTTTCTGATGAGAACTTTGCTGCCATTCTAATTGCTTTTCCCTATGGCATTGTTCCCCTAAAGTTTCTCCCACAGCTTTCAAGATTTTAAGTTTGTCTTTAGTTGAAGAAGATTAGCTATCATCTGTCTTTGCCTTGATTTCTTTGGCTTTATCTGTTTGGGGGTTTTTCTAAGTTTCTTGTATCTGTAGGTTTATGTCCTTTGCATAGTTTAGGACATTTTCAGACATTATTTCTTTGGATACCTTCACAGCCTCTCTTCTTTTGGGACAATGGTGAAATGAAGATTAGATCTTTTGTTATAGTCCTACAGGATCTTAATGTTCTCTTTATTTTTTTTTAAAGTCTATTTTCACGTTTTTGTTCAGACTGGGTTTTTTCTATTTTTCTACTTTCAGGTTTACTGATTCTTTCCTCTGCCTTCTCCTTTCTGCTGTTGAGTCCCTCTACTGAGTTTCCTTTATCTAGCTTTTGATATTTTTTCATTCTAAAATTTTCATTTCATTTTTCTTTATAGCTTCCATTTCTTTGCTGAGACTTTTTGTTTTTTACTGAGTTCTATAATTCTGTTATTGGATTTCTCAACTCTCCAGTTTCCATTTATTCTTCTTTATTTTCCCTACCTTTTTTTCTGGGATGTTCTATTTCTTTCCTGAGACATTTTATTTTTTTCATTTGTTTCATGTGTGTCCATAATTACTTATGGCAACACTTATATGCTTTAAAATCCTTGTCAGATAATTTTAACAGCTGTATCATCTTGCTGTTGGCATGTCTTGATTATCCTGATTCTTGGTATGATGAGTGATTTTCTGTTGAAACTTGGGCATTTTGAGTATTATCCTATGAGGCTATGGATCTTATTTAAATCTTCTGTTTGAGCTGATTTCTCTGACACCATTCACACAACAGAAAAAGGGAGCTTGTTACTGTCAGGTGTTGGGTGGAAGTCTAGGTTCCCCACTAGGCCTCCAGGGGCACCCAGTGTGGGGAGGGGCTCCTTGCTACTGCTGGGCCATGGTGGGAATTCCAGCTCCCCACCAGGACTTTGCTGATCCCTTTCTGGCCAGAAGAAGCAGCAGTTCCTCCTTACTGCTCTCCAGTGGTAGGGGACAGTCTTGTTACCAACAATTGCCTGTAGAGGTCCAGGTTCCCCACACAACCTCCACTGATATTGAAGGGGAGGAAGCCACATTATTACCCAGTGGGGATAAAAGTCTTGGCTCCCGCATGAGGGAGATGGGGGTCTGGTGAGAGTAGAAGCCTAGGCTCCCTGCTTTTGTTGGTGGGGATGGGGGTGGGACTGCTGGCTTTTCTGTGGTGTTTGCCTGGAGTAGAACAAACTTTTCTTTCTTGATAAGCTGCCCCCTTCCTCATCGTGTGGCTAGAGGAAACAAGCTCTTGTTGGGGCTTTTAATCATCTGCACCTCTTGGCATTTCCAGCTCTCAGCTGTTCCAGCTCCAAATCTAGAGTATGTGAGGCCCAAAGGAAACCCAGAGAGATCATTGCCAACTCCACCTGCTAGTCCTGAGGCCCTGATACGGTCTGCCTTTTTCTCTCCCTACTCCATCCACGTTTCAGTGTCTTCTTATTTTTTTAGTATATAATATTTTAATATATAATATTGAAGGAAATTAGGAAGAGGAAAAAGTAAAAATACTTCTCCATCTTTTCAGAAGTGAAAGTCCTTGAATATGTATCTTAATTCCTTATTAGAATGCTTACATTGCATTTGGGCAAATAAGTGAGAGATAAAATTAAATGATTTTGAGACTCCTAAATTTATATATATGTTTATAACATATTATGTTACATAATGTATTATCATATCATATATAATAAGTATTATATATTCTATTTGTAGTATCTATTATATTTATTTTGTTATGTATAATAAATGTATGTTATTATATATAAATATATTACATGTATTTTATTATATATAAATGACAAAACCATATTTGTTATAAAACACTAAAATTCACAGACATGATAATTGTGGTATAATCCATATATAAAAATATTTTAAAAATAAATTAAAAAGTAATTCCACAAAAGATGATTCAAATATGGTTTTTTCTATATATACCCCTGTTATATGTTCAATTCAGCAACTCTTTATTGCATGTCTAGTATGATCTCATTACATTCTAGGTGTTCTATAGTATAAAATAAACATAAATCTGACAGAGGCATGGGCCTTATTGACAATAACACTATAACCATGTTAATGATAAAAATAAATTAATTTGTAAAGACTCATATTTAGAAAATGGAAATTTCATTAAGAGATGGAGTTATCAAAATAGTCATTTCATAGAAATTAAAGTGAGCTTTTTAAAAAAGCTGCATTTGGTTGTATGTTGAGGGGTTGGCAGACGGTTTTAGGAAATTGTGAAGGCTTGGGAAAATATTACATCTGGTATGTCTAAATGATCACAACAAGTACGACTTGACAACTTGATGCGCGGGAGAACTGCAAGTTTGTGAGTGACTAGAGCCAACTGTGCAGGATGCAAGGCAGGACATTATTTAAGCAAGACTGACCTTGTTGTGTCCCACTGGACCCTGTAGGCTCTGTTCATCAATACTCACATTGCACTAATAGGCAAGGGAGCATCATTGCAAGTTCCACAAAAGTGGCATAATAAAAATGATGTTTAGAGAAATTATTAGGAGTGCCAATTTGGCTGGTTTTGCAACAGTTATTGCAGTAACCCAGGTGTGAAGCAACAAATCTACATGCATGCTCTTCTTCCACACCATGTTTCACCATGTTCTTCAGAATCAACAGCACAGCAATGGAATTAAAATGTGGTGATTGCCTTTATTTCACAGAATACTCTGCTAGACAATATCCATGTGTTTTGTCATTTAGTATTCAATGCAACTATTGAGGTATTATTATTGACATTCTATTAGATTAAGCAGTTTTTCCAAAGTCCCACAGCCAATATTTAAATACAGGCTTTTGACATTGCATGACACTGACACCTCCATACCTAGCATGATGGAGGTGAGGCACAGGCTCCCAGGGTTCTCAATGACTTGAGCCTGTGTTGCAGCTGGGGCAGCTCTTGCCTTCCTTTACTCAGCTACTTTATTACCCACAAGTCAGCCTGTAAAATATGATAACAATTTAATGTTGTGATGCTGTAGAAACAAGTTTCATATTTCTTCCCCTTCCTCTCCATTCAGGCAATGTCCCACCAGACCTTCAGTTTAGGGTACCGCAGCCTGGAGAGCACAGAAGCAGCTCACATCAGTCAGCAGACAATTAAGACACTGGCCTTTGATTCATTTCCCGATCTAACATGTAACCATGCTGCTGATTACCCATTTTCATTGTTTATGGCAAGGCAGGTGGATGAACAGCTCTGCCTGATTTATGAAGTGCTTGCCTTCTATAAATCACAGAGCAGAAACCCAGCACGCTGCTAATCCTAATTGGTTAAGTCCTAAGTAGGGAGTGATTAGAAAGTCTTCAGGAAAGAAGGTGCCTTATGCAAATGAGGGAGACATACAGCTCCTTGGGAGGAAACTCCCCCTGCTCACAATATGCTGTAAAGTTTTTGTTAATGTTCGTTCCTACTGCCCCCTTCTATCGCTTGCTGGTCAACCCCTGTTGATCTTCCATTTGTTAATAAACTGGAGAGAGGGCATAAGTGGGAAAGCACAAACACTGTAGAAGCAGAATGCTGTTTGCCCACTTACTCTGTCATTTGTTAATTTCAACCTGGATTAATTTTCCAGCTACTATAAACCATTCATCATGATGAAGGAGAACCGTGTAATATGACTCATAGTGCTGTTTATTGGAGTGGGAAACACGAGGGCTTTGAGTTCTGTCTACCTGCATTCCAATCCCACTCTTTCCTGGAAGAAAATGACATGGCATTCTCAGACACTCAGTGATGACCTTCTCTGATTGTTCACTTAAAGCCTAAACTACTTTGAAAAATTCTAAACATGTGAGGCTGTGCACATCTTCTGATTGGAAATAGGGCTAAGAAATGTATACTCTGCTGGCAAAGGAAGAAAGAAGCCTGCAAATTGTTACAACTTTCCCCCCCAAGCCTCAAGGTTGAGGACACAGGGGAGTGTGCATATGACACATTTAAAGGAGCAGTGATCTGAGGTTAAAACTCAAAGCAGGAAACTTCCACTCTCCTCTTCCAACCAATTGAATGTGTTCCCTTTTTTGGCTAATTTCTCTTTTTCATTTCTCTCTCCTCTTCCCCATCTTCCTCCTTCTACTTCCCTTTCCCTTTGTACATTTTCCCTGTCTACCTTCCTCTTCTTCCTTTCTTCTCCATATTTCCCGGGACCCAATGGCAGGTGCAGCAGCAGCAGTGGCAGCGTCCCTTCGGAACTGGAGGATGAACCTGCCTGCTTGGAGGAGATTGATTACAGTACCGACAACAGCTCAGACCAGGAAGGGAGCTTGTCTGAGCTGGACCGGAGGATCCAGGAGTGTGCCTTCAATAAGTTTGAGGGAGAGGAAGAAGAGGAGGCACCAGGGCAGGGAGGAGAAGCCATCCCATAGCCCCGAGGTTCACAGCAAGTTCTGTGTCTCCAACCATTGGATTGGACTAGCAGCTGTGTTGCTGCTTCTTCATCATCAGACACACACAATGTATATGTCAGTGCAAAAAGCCAGCCTGTGTGAGCTCAGCAACCCCATTTCCAGATTTTGTTCTAGTTTCCCTATGCGTAGAAGCTAGCCACTTTATAACATTTTATATTAGAGTTAGGTAGCCCTTGGGGCCTATGCAAGCTGCTATTGTACTTAGAATGGGACCCAATGGGTAGCCTCAAGATTACCATGGATCCTTTCAAGATTTTTCTGAGTTATTCTCCATTCTTGTGCTTGAACTGGAGCAAGCTGGAAGTAGAGGAGTTGGGCTTCTTCTTGGCTTCTCAGCCAGAATTCTAAGTGGTTATTTAAGTTGTTCCATATACAAGTGTTATCTTCCAATGTTATCTCCCCACCATAGCATTTGAGCACCCCAGAACAAACCACTGAGACTCTGGGGATCCTGGCAGGGTCTTCAGGTGCTGGGGCTTGAACATGAAAAACTGTGCATCCAAGTAATTGCAGGTTTCATCTGTGATCTTCTCAAGCAGCATATATTTTACATATGTGGTACAGGCCAGAAGCTGCACTAGACTCTTAGAAATAAGACATTGTCACTGATCTTCACAGATTTTAAGATCCTATGTATTCAGATCACCAAACATAATGCTAGGAAGTACCAGACCTACTGGAAAATTTATTCATTTCAGAATCTGACAGATATGGTTCATATGCTAGATCTGGCAGTTGCTTGTTATGACAATTTAGGCAAGTAATTAAATTTTCCTAAACTTCAGTTTTCTTATATATAAAATGTGGATAAGTATATCTATATCATAAAATTATTGTAGGATGAAATGAGATGATATATAAAAGTGTATAGCTTAGCATTTGGTACACAACAACATTGGCTTATTTTTCTTCATAACACAAAAGAACATTCTATATAAGAATTCTGACAGTTAAGAAAAAATTCTCACCAGCCTGGACAACATGATGAAACCCTGTCTCTACTAAACCCCATCTCTACAAAAATTAGCCAAGTGTGGTGGCGCACACCTGTAATCCCAGCTACTTGGGAGGCTGAGAAAGGAGAATCGCTTGAACTTGGGAGGTGGAGGTTGCCATGAGCCGAGATTGCACCACTGCATTCCAGCCCGGCAACAGAGCAAGACTCTGTCTCAAACAACAACAACAACAACGACGACAAACCCAGAATCCAGAATTCTCTGGAGTCACATGGTAGGAAATAGGCCCTCTTACTGGAAGGGAGCTGGGAAGGAGATTACAGAGGAGCAGAATCTAGGAGGCTGGAATCACTTAAAACAGGTGAAAATGGAGCAAGGCCTTTTAGCATTCGGAAGGAAGAGGCTTAGTTATTTGAATAATGAAGTGTACGAGACCTGCGAAGAAAGGATGAGAAGGGACGACAAAGGCAGTGGTAGAGTGAGAGATAGAATACGCTAGGTCAAACTTAGGCTGTTTTAGATGTCATGTGTATTAGTTAGGATTAGGTTTAGCTGCAAGAGATGGACAACTTATCATAGTAGTAGCTTTCATAAGGCATAAGTCTATTTCTCTTTCCTGTGGAATTTTACACACTGGAAGACCAGTCCTAGTGTCATGGCTGCATGGTGTCAGAGACCTGGCTTCTGCAGTTTTCTGGCTCTACTGTGTGTGCTTCTACTCTTGGTCTAGAATGGCTGCTGAAGCATCAGTCACTGCATCTGCATCCCAGGCAGTAGCAAGAAGAACACAAAAAGAAATGCCTGTTTTCTATCTTTCCAAAAGCTCTACATAATATTTCTTCTTAATCCCACCGGCTGAAAAAAATGGGCCTATAGCCACAGGAAGCTGCAAGAGAGGTTAGAAAACATAGTCTTTATTTGAGGTGGGCCCAGCTAAAATTTGAAGTTTGAAGTAAAAGTCTGAATACTAAGGGAAAAGATAATAATACATATTGGGAGATTACATATCTGCCAAAAGACTTCTCCTGATGTTCCAAACACCACCAAGGGAGTTTTGGATATATCAGAATAATCTCAGATGACACTCATAGCACACACCTCTTGACCAGCAGAAAGCCACAGAACAAAACAGGATTAGCTCCAAGGCATAGAAGAAAGGCATCTGTGTTGTGATTTTGGGAGTTGATAACATTATTAATAGTCTCTTATTTTTTTAACTCTTTTCCAAGTTTCCATTTTGTAGTTCAGAAATTGTATATCCATTCTTCATATTAAGACATGTATGTTTATGTAACATATGCAAGAAATTTGAAGACTATTAGCAAAGATAATGAAAGTGAAACCCAAACGCTATATAGCTCTTAACTCCTCCCATATTTAATCTTTCCACTCTTAAATAAAGGCTAGCATAATGGTGCTGATTTCTCTTTGCTTTGAGGATTCAAGAAGATAATATTGAAATGTAATTGCTGAGAGAGGTGGGAATGATGCTAGCTTATCATTAATTATTATTTCAGCCCAAATTAGTTTTGGGGGTTAGCTTCTGGTCATGAGGCATGTTTCTTAAAAAACGTGACCATGACAGATAAGTTTTTATGTGGCATGTTCAGAAAAAGCCAGGAACATGAAGTATTTGTTGATCCATCTATGTAACAAATGTATATTTAACCCCTAACTGTGGGTCATGCACTTTACTAAGCTCTACGGATGCAGATAAGAAAGACCTATTTTGTGCCCTCAGTAACCAGACAAAGAAGAACAATAAACATTCTAAGTTAATGCAGTATGGCCCATGCCATTATGGAACTCTGCAAAGAATATTACAAAAACGCCTAATCTAATGGGGGTGGCAGTTGTGGTAAAAGTCTACCAAAAGAAGGTCATAATTTGGGTGATTCTTGAAGAATATGCAGGAGTTTTCAAGTATAAAGGGAGAAAAGACATGCGAAGGAGTGGAAAGATTTTGTGCAAAGGCCCTGTGGTAGAGTTAGAGCTTGAAATAAAATGTTCAGTGTGACTGGTTTAAAAGATGTGTTTGTATGTGAGGAAAGGAGGAGAGTGACAAGAGATGAAATGGAAAAACTAGACAGCAGTCAGATAAAGCTGCATTTGGCATTCCTTGATGAAAAGGCTGAATTTAATTCTGAATGTAATGGGGGAGACTTAAAGAGCTTTCAGCAGAGGCATGCCCGTGACTGATATCAGCGCCATTTTTCCCTTGTTTATGGCTGAGGGTTTGGTGCTCCTGCTATGCTGGTTGTTCAGTAGTTTGAGGAGTGCCCCAGGTGTGATACTACTATATTTGAAGAGCAGAACGTTTGCATTCAGGTCAAAGATAATAAGTGCAGTTTGGGGACATGTTAAATGTTGGTGGCCTACATGATAGCCCGTTCGAAAGGTTTCCTAGAAATCAGAGGTACCTCAGGAAGCAGAAGGAGAACAAAGAGAGGTGTACCTAACACTTGGTGATTTTGGGGACACAGGTGAATGTCCTGAGCACCTAAGCCCAGGTGTCAGTGAGTTGGGAAGGCAATTGATTGGAGGGAAGAGGGGACTTGGGAGCAGACCTCTCTCCTTTCCTGCTAGGACTGAAGGCTATCTTGTGTCAAATCTCACCAGTCTTCCATCCAGAGTTAGAGGGTACTTACTTGAGAGTTAACTCTCAATAGTTATAAGAGCCATTCTTCCAGTCAAGCCAGGACTTTCTCTTGCTGGCCAGACCACTTCAGTGAATTGTTGGGATAAAACGTGTTCTACCAAATTCAAAGCCAAACTAAGATGACCCAAGAATTCCAAGGAGTTGTAGGCCATAATGGGAAGCAAATGTGGTCCAAAATGTGCAGAGGAGAGAGGAGAGTCCAGAGAGGCGATGTTGGGGCAGGCCAAGTGCATGCTGTCCTGTACCAACTGTCATCCGGTGCTCTGCATGCAGGACTGGAACTGGGGCTGAGGGGCTGTGGGGGCCTGCAGCTTCATGGGACAGCCTGGTAAAACTTCTCTGATGGGCAAAGGTTGGGAGCTTTCTGATTTCACCTTTAAGATAGTCCCATTGTTAGAATAGAAGCCCAAGACTTGCCACCCACGAGCCCTCAAGGGTGGAAACTACTGACCCCTTCGTAACACTTCCCTCTGGCAAGAGGCTTTGTGGCTTCACATTTCCTTCAGAAGGAAGTCTAAATGTCTCAACAGATCCCTTTATAGCCTGGCCCCAATCTCCTTGACAGCCTCAGGTTCTGACATTCTTTGTTCTCTTTGATTTGCCACAGAACATACCCTCTTTCTCTCTCATCGCACTTATGCTTGTGAGTGTCTACACACATATGCACATGCACAGTGCAATAGGGGCATGGAAGGGCACTTCTTAAGCCACACAGCTCCCTAAATGTACTTTTTGATTTTTCTAACATTTTCACATTTTTCCTCTGCCTCTGATAAGAATCTCCCATTCTCTCATTTGGGAATATCAAAACTCAGTTCAAATATCACCTTTCTTCTATAAAACTTGTCCTCATCACCCAATGCCAAGTTATATATAATCTCTCTTCCATGCCCCTGTTGCACTGTTTATATATCTCTTTTATACTATGCTTATTTTTAACTTGATAAATATGTCTTTTATACCCACACCCCCATTCACCATTGAATAGTGAGCTCTAAAGTGCACAAACCTGCTATTATCTTGGCATCTGTCCCTATACCTATCATACTTCTTAACACATTGCAGGTGTTCAAAAATGTGTCTTCCCCTCAGCTTCAAACTCAGACATCCAATGTTTCAATGAAATCTCACTTATTTTCCTTAAATCCCTCCGTTTTCCATCTCAAAGAAGAGTTTGTGTTATAGACAGGGAAACACAAAGAAGAGTTTGTGTTGTAGTTTCACTAAAAGGACGTGTAGCACAAGTGCAGCCTGGCCTCTCAAGCTGGTGGTTGCCATGGAAGAGTTCCCAGTGCGAGGCGAGCTTAACAAGGGGCAGGGTGTCCTTTTCCTTACCTGTGTTGTGCAAATGCTTAGAGTGGTGATAATGGAGGGGTGGCATCTCCAAGGGTTCCCAGGAGCTGCCACATTTACCCAGGGGCTCTGCCTCCTATGCTCCCTTTGGTGAGAACTGTCTGTGCAGCTCCATGGATATCATGCCAACTTGGCTGCCTGGGCTCTCCTTGCAATCCCATCAATAAGAATCAGCATCCAAGAATTCCATACATTGGCTTCAGTTTCCTTCCAGAAAGAGGATTCAGAGCCACCAAGAATATTTGAAATTAACCTGCTCCCTGAGTTACAAGCTCACCTTGAGGGCTGCCAACACAAGGAAGGTCATATTACACCCTTTCATTTATCAGCCTGGAAAATGGTGCCGTAGAGTCGATTTCATATGCTAAGGGCAGCCTCTGCCCTATGCCAAGAGAAGGAGCTCCCAGGAAATGCCTGACATAAGTCATCCTTGTTAGGGCCACAGAAGAATGACTCGCATGGTGGATCTCAGCATTTGGATTTGCATTAAAATGATGGATTTGTTTTGCCTTGCTGGTACAGCTCACCCCAGCTCCCCAAACTCTCTAGTCTTGGAAAGACATGCATAGTAGCCTGGTGCCCACCAGGAGGGCTTTTCTGGGCAAAAATAATTCATCAGCTCTGGAGCCTGCTGCTGTCTTCCCAACAGATGTCCTCTTTTGTTTGTGTTGCAGTTTGGTTCATGCTACCAATGCTTGATAAAAAGTGTTCTTTAGAAAAGAAAAAATAGAGTGGTAAAAGGGAATTTTGAGATAAAAATGGATTCTATTACAACCTTTCAGTGCCTAATAATAAAAAGATACAATTGCATATAACTTAAAATCATCTATTACACACACACAATTCAACATAATGGAGCTGAAGCTGAGTTTGAGTTCCCCACCACACACACACATACACACACACACACACACACACACACACGGCACAGGGCTTTAAGCATAACAATGAGTGAGGGAAGGTTGATCCTCAGACACATGACACATGTTCATACAGGTGAGGGGCAGCTGGTTGATGATTTTAGGCTCTACTGTCACACAGATGTCAAGATGAAGGCCTTTTGGGCAGAAGACGGGACTCATCTCTCATTAGCATGTGACATAAACTGTACTTGAAGTGTGTATATATTCTGGGCCAGTTCCAATGCAAAGTAAAATGGGTTCAGTATCATTGGTAGAGAACACAGTCTATGAGAGAATTACCAAATGAGCCACATTTAGTTCTTATGACAAGTAGTTAAACAGAGGAGAGCACTGACTGTTTACAAGGCTGAAGCAGGCAAGGCGTGGTGGCTCACAACTGTAATCCCAGAATTATGGGAGGCCAAGCTGGGAGGATCCCTTGAGCCCAGGAGTTTGAGACCAGCCTGGGCAACATAGTTAGACCCTGAATCTACAAAAAATAAAGAAAAAAAATAGCCAGGCGTGATGGTGCATGCCTGTAGTCCCAGCTACTAGGGAGGCTGAGGCAGGAGGATCACCTGAGCCTGGAAGTGGAAGGTTGAGGCTACGGTGAGTCGTGATCGCACAACTGCACTCCTGCCTAGGTGGCAGAGTGAGACCCTGTACTCTGTCTAAAAGTAAATAAAAAGGCTGAAGCAAAGATGATTCTACATGGGGGGATTTCAATGATCTTTTATAGTCTCTAGGCTCTTATGGGGTTAAAATGATTTCTTGGTATCAGACAAGTATTATGACCAGCTCCTGGCAAAATAAGTAACACTTAAGCATAATTATTTGGAGCTATTCAGTTAAAGTGTCTGAGTGTAGCCCTGGTCTTGAAGGGCAGGGCAAGACATGGCATTGAGTTCAATTGTCTCTACTGGCTGTGGGACGGGACAGGAAGCAGAGAAGCCGACAGGTCTGCCATCCAAACATCCAGGGTATGGGGGTTAAATGAATGAATGTCCTGGGGTAGAAGACTATCAACCAGACCCCACCCACACTTCATTCTGAAGAGGAAGTTATTTTGGGAGGTATTAGAGGAGGAAAAATCTGCCTGTGTTTCTGCTCTGCTCAGACAATCACATAAGTGACTCATTTCACTCTCAGTACCAGCTCTGTGGGATAAATGGACATTATGATTGCCATTTTAAAAATGAAGTGCACCCATACTTAAAGAGACACGTTTAGTAAATGATAGAGCTGGAATCTGTTCCCGGGGAAATCTGACTTCCTAACTCATGCTCCCTCCACTTCCCCAGAGGAGGTGAATATGAACCATAACACAGTTACAGCTAACGTGGTAATTAGCAACACTTAGTATCTATAATAGTCTAAGACCATCGCAGGTGTCATCATGTTTAAGCCTAAAACTTCAGCCCAACGAGCTAAACTCTGTTGTTATGCTCACTTTATAAATGAGGGCATTAAGAATTTAAGGGCTAGCCTAAGATGATACAGGTAGTAAGTAGCAGATCACAACCTTAACTCAGGCAATCGGACTCTTAAACTTGCTCTCCAAGGAAAAACATCTTTCTTCAAAGACCCCTAAGGGCCCTCTGAGAGGTTATGGAGCAAGTCTCCATTTCTAGGAAAGTGTGTTGTTCTTGTAGATCCTTGACTCAAATACAAGTAACTCCTACTGGCCATTTCTGCATAACTTCCTGCTCCTTTTCAAACTCAACAGGTTCAAAGTCAAAATCTCCTCCCAACAAAATCTCTACCTCCAAATTCCTAAACTTGATTATGCCGATAGTAAACCGGCGTTGTTTGATTTATTTGTGTGCCAGATGCAGAGCTCACTGTCTGGCCGAGGCAGGTACTCAGATCTTCACTAAATAGATGAATCTGCAATGTTGTTGAGTGTGAATCTTAGCTTTGGTTGGAGTCCAAAGCTAAGAATCAGACTCGGTAACACTGTTCTCACCTGGACTTCAAGTTTTCTTACCACTCTTCTCACCTTTGGTTGTGCTTCCTTTCCAACCCTTTCATCCCTGTGCAGCCTGATAGTATTAGGAAGGAAAACCGGCTTCTACTTTCGCAGTTTATAATTTGTCAGTGACCTCCCATGGTCTTAAGGATAAAATGCAGACAGGACCTAGTGCTTGAGCCTTTTCAGATCCAGCCACTACGTAATTTTCTGGTCTCTTCTCTTGACATCAGCCCCTGTTAAAGTCATAAAAACTTACTTTCAATTCTCAGAAAGCACCTTACTCTTCTGTTCCCTCTTCTTCCATCCATGTGCCTAGATCTATCCATTATGTGCTTAAATGTAGGCTCCTCCAAGAAGTCTCCCATGATCTGATTCTGAGTTCCTACTGTCATCTTGGAGAAACCCAGTCACAGCTTTTGTTGTATGGCATTGCCTGTGGACTTTGCTGTCCCCTCTTCACCTCCCCCCCACCGCCCCACTGCACCAAGACTGTAATATCTTGGAGAACAAAGACAATTTTGTTCACTGCTACATCCTGAGAGCCTAGCATCGTGCCCAAGATGTGGTGGGACTTCCATAAATATGTGTTGAATGGTTGAGATCTTAATTTCTGTTAGAACGGTCTCCTGAGAATGACCTCCTACCCGTTGCCTCAGTAACCTCTTACGCATGGAGAGCAGAGCTGCAGGAAAGCAGGACACACGTGAGTCCAGCCAACTCAGAGCTTCAAGGAGGCGTCCAGGAGAAACCTCCCTCAGCCCCGTTTGCGGTGCCTCCTGGTCGGTAATTTTCCAGAAGCAATTTCTTGTTTCCTCCAAATGGCCTGTAGAGGTCAGAAAAGGGCCTTGTTTTCCAATCACCGACTGTCCTGTCTACATTAGCATTCACCCCGGGTGTCTATAATTAAGCAAGCCTAAGCTGGGCACATAGGAACGGAAATGCATTGACTTTAATAAAACAGAGTGTAAAACAACTTTAGATTGACTCCAGCCTTGTTTATTCTTGCACACTTGTAATTCTGGTTTGGTATATTCCCAGTCAAAGAGACCATTGTCCTGGGAACTGAAGCGTGTCCCTTGCTTCATTGCTGCTGCAGCCTGTCCAAGGAGGCAAGCCGCACCAGGTTGCTGCTACCAGCTCACAGCAATTTTTTTTTAAATTTTTTAAAGAAGAAAAAATAACAGAGAATAACCTGTGAGAACGATGAAAGGAGTTCCTATTGATGTCCTGGACTTTGTGTGTGTGTGTTTGTGTGTGTGTGTGTGAATGTAAGTACATCCAGAGTCCAGAAAAAATATGTAAATAATAAAAATGGATCAGGCACTCTGGTCTTCACCTATTGTGTAATTTAGGAAATGATGGTTTTGTTCTTTAAGTGATTCCGTAGCATATGGAATAGAACATTATAACAGAAGTTGAGAGTCCAAGGTTTAGGCTCTGGCTCGGTTACTTCAATATATGGCTTTGGGCTGACCCTTTCCTCTGGGTCTCAGTTTCTCCATTGGAGGGTGAAGGGCTGGACCACACGAAATCTAACCTCACTTCTATTTCTAATATTCATGAACATGAATGCTGTGCTGGCGGGGCCTGCAGAGAACACCAGCAGGCCCGGGGCTGGCCAGGCCGGTGAAGAGGCAGCGTGAGGTGGCTCACACTAGCGTTCTGTCTCTGCAGGGACCGAGGCCAGGCCTGCACAATGATCTATTCAGAGCACAGAGCAGAGCAGTGCCGTTGATATCCTGCCAATGCCCAGCAGAATAAAAGCTTCCGAAATCAGGGCTAAAAATAAATAATAAAACAAAATGACAACATAAACAGGAAGACCTAAAGGAGGGGGAATGAATTGAGTCAGCAAACTTCAGCTGGGGTGGGGCAGGGAAGAATCTAATTTGTTTTCATCCACATGGTTTGGCCTGCTAGGTGCTGCACTGGTGTTTAAAGTGCTGTTGGAAGGGGGAGTTTGATGCCACCCTGGGAGAAGATAGAGAAGATGGGGGAGAGGCGTGGCTGCTCTCTCAGGCTCGTTTCCTCCCCACTGTGCAGTTGGTCCACCCACTCCTCACTGACTCTTTGTTGGTTGTTCAGAGAGAGTTCTTTCACAGTCCCTCTCCTGTCCCTGGCCTCTGCCTGGGCCTGGGCCAACTGCCCTCATCGACCTTGTCTCTCAGCATTTGGGGCCCAGCTTCCTCCTAGGCTCTTTGCACACACTCAGGATTTCAATCAAAATGACTTTCAAATCTGGTCATTTAGGGGAGGATGTGTGCAAGAGGGTTAGGGAAAGGGAGCTCATTATTACTGAGCACACTGAATGTTCCGGCCACTGTACAGTTACATGCAACATGCAAGGAGACAGACAGCAGTGACCTAGCAGCAGCCACAGGGCAAGTAAACATATGCGGATCACCTCTACAACCTTGTTCCAGGCCTTGTCATTGCGAAGCGTAGAGATTCAAAGCAGTTGGAGACTTCCTTTAGTGAGGCGGTTTCTTGAATTTGGGGATATGCAAATGTCGGGGTGAGGGATGAAAAGCTGCTCTGCTGTGCATTAGATGGTACCAAAGATTCGGGGAGTGGGGCCAGGGGTGTGCACTGGGAGAGAAGGAGAGAGAGAGAAGAGAGAGGATGAGGACTTCCCAGCATGGCTCAAGGCAGGGGAGCAAAGAGGGCCTCAGAGAAGTCCTGACTCATAAAAAAGTGATGTCCAGGATTGAATTTTAAGTTGTTCTCTGTTCTGTGGGATCTCATTTCACTCCATCCCTAGTCCCTCAAATCTCTAGTAAAAGTCCATTACTCCCAAGCAGCTGGGTTCTCATTATATTTTGCATAGATGAAAGGTTCAGTTGTTCATTTTGGATGAAAACATGGGGGAAGCCACCAAAGAGAATTCAGCAGAAGCAAGAAATTTGCAAAGTTCATTTCTAGGAAATTACAGATTCCATTTATTTGGGCAGTTCATGAATATGATGGTAATGATAATAATCAACTTACCATAAACATGAACCAGACCTTGGGCTGAATGTTTACTATTCACAAAACCCCTTTGAGGTAAATAACTATTATGATACCCATTTTACAGACAAAGAAACAAAGTCTGGGAGATAGTTAGCAGCTTGGGCAAAGTGAGTGGTTAGTGGAGAGGCTGCATTTGGGTTTGAACTGAGCTTGCATCCTCTTCCCATTCTCCCCATGGTGTAACACCTCGGAAAAGGAAATGTTCCTAGTGGCAGTGGACATCTCCTCCCTTCATTTTTCCCTTGAGGCAAACTTGCCTTCACACTTTCTTCTTCAAATTCAATTAGAAATGGATCCGTATCATGCCGCTGCACTCCAGCCTGGGCCACAAAGGGAGACCCAGTCTCAAAAAATAAAAAAAAAAAGGAAATGGATCTGTAATTTTCCGAGTCTTATTTTCAGACTTAGTCAAGGCCTGTTTTCTCCCCCACGTACCTATTAATTTAAATTTTGCTCAGCTTCCTTCTCCACATTTCCAGACAAAAATGCTGTGTGACCTTTTACAGAAATCTTACCATGGGCTGATGGTGGTAGTTGATGATGTGTATGGGAAATACGTGAAGCACACTATAAGCTTCCCCTAGCAAATGTTCAGAGCAACATTTTTAAAGATGAACAACATGAATTTCAAACAGTGGTTAAGTAAACATCATAGAGAAATATGTCCCCAACAAAATCGGGTCTGGATTGGGATCAGCAGGATTTCCCTTAAGGTGTCTGCTCTGGTTCAGGAAATGATTCTTCTGGGTCTCTGTCTGTCATGTCCGTGCGTGTTCTGAACAATATCATGTGTTCCCCTGGTGACTCTATTTTTTTCAGAGTACTACTTTGAAGGCTGTGGCATAGTAATGCTAGGGATACCTTGCAGACTTACGCTCAGAGATCTATAATGCACCACATCAATATCAGCTAGTTTCAAGTGATACTCAGTTTACTTTATTAGGAAAGGATCTATACTCTTTAAATCCTAAACTGTTACTGTTCCTCAACTTCACTTGACTTCAACCTAAAAATTAATGCTATAAGTGAGTGGCCCCTTCAACAAGACCGCTTAGCAAAGAGCAACAGGAGAAACACACCTTGGTCCTCTACCTTTTCCTGTCTCTGTTGAAATAGATTTTCCTGTAGTCTGACATAAGTCAGTGATATTCCCGAAAGACAGCCTTACCTGAGCCATGCTTCTCTTTTTCTGAATAGTTTTTTTGTTGTTGTTTTTTGTTTTGCTTTTTTCTCATCTTTAGTGGCTACAAGATGAAAAGACCAGAAACACATGACATTAATTAAGGTAAGGAAAAACAGAGCCCAGCAAGGGAGAATGAATTGACACTGAAATCTCTAGGGCTCATCAATGACTAGCTGCTTAGTTGCCCACTCCCTGTTGAGACACACACACACACACACACACACACACACACACACACACCCGACTACCTAAGGAAAAACTCTTATATGAATGAAGAAAAAACCAGAGCCTTCAAGGACACTAATTTGGTGCCTGTTGCAGAGAGCAGTTTTTGTGGTAAGAGGAAGATTATAAATAGAAGCGACTGCGGCAAGCTCTCTCACGATGTTTTATAATTGGTGTTGTAATACCTTGTGCCAGATGATATGAGAAAGATGGTGTGGCAGGATGTGTCCAGCCTGTAAAGCACTCACAGTGTCTGGAGTCCCAGTGGGGCTGAAATGGGACAAGGGAGAAGGAGTAGGCAGGGGCTGCCTGGCCCACTCTGCCATGGGCCTCAGGAGTAAAGGGCAGGCTCATGGGGGAGGGATATCAGTACCTGTACCTCAGTTTTACATTGCTGGGAAACAAATTACCACCAATTTAGTGCTGTCGAACATTATCTATTTACTGTCTTAGGGTGAGTAAGTCAGAAGCACAGGGAACCTCCGTGGGTTCTCTGTTCAAGAGGCCTCGAAACTGAAACCCAAGCGTCAGTCAGCCTGGACTCCTATCTGGAAGCTCAGGGAAAGAATCTGCTTCCAAGCTCAAACTGTTGTCTGAATTCAGTTCCTTGTGGTAGTAGGCACTGAGCTCCCCATTTCCTAGCCAGCTGTCAGAGGGGCTGTTCTCAGCTCCTACAGTCCGCCTCCATTCCTTGGCCTGTGACATCTCAAAGCCAACAAAGTGGATTTAACCACCACCCCTCCCTGATGCTTTGAATCTCTTTTACTTCTACTAGCCAGAAAAACTCTCTTCTTTTAATAGGCTAGTGTGATTAGGTTAGACCCACCCTGATCATCTATTCTTTGCCTTAAAACCTAGTATAATCACAGGAGTGAAATCTCATCATAGTCAGGGCCTCTATCCATGATCAAAAGTGGGGAAGGGGAAAACACAGGGCAGATTTCATTGGGTTTATTTTTATAATTTTGCTTACCACAAACAGTAATATTATCAAGGGTTATGTAATGCTCTCTCCAAGTGCTAGGAACAGTTTAAGCATTTTATATACATTAATAACATGAATCTTCATGACAATCCTATAACATAGGTATATTCATCCCAGTATTCTGATTTTACATGTGAGGCCAAAGTATTGATGTAGTATACACAGCTAGCCTGGGATTGAGTTGTGATTTGAACTCGACAAGTACAGCTCCAGGTTTATGCCAGATTTCTTGGCTCCATCTAAAAATGTACTCTCTTAGACATAGTTTTTTTCCTTCATTTTGCCTGAGCTGGGATGTGAACATGGTGTTTCCAAAACAAATTAGGGAGCTGCTCACCTGTGCATTAAGGCAAAACATCCACTTTGAGGTTTTGCAATTGGAGAAAGGAGGGCATTCATTTTCAGAGTGCCAAGCAAGGAGAACTGGGCAGCTCACACTTAGACCTGACCTCCCCAGCGGCTTCTAGGTAAGGGTCTTTAAAGGAAGGGAGGCAGAGGTTATAGGCAAAGTCATCAATAAATACGTGGTGGTTATACATTGGTTTGACCAAAAAAGTTGGGACATTTCGAAGTAGGTCGTAAGAGGATTCAAAGATTTTTCTCATCTGTGATTGGTTAAGCAGACGAAGCTTTGTTTAATGATTTGGGGGTCAACAGAAAGGAATGGTGAGTTCCAGCCTGTGGATGGGACTTCCTCCAGGCTCCTCAAGAAGAAATTTAGAACAGAAAATGGCCGTCAGAGTTCAGTCCTCAGTCTCCTCTTGTCTGAGGTCTACGTGCCAGTGTATCCATTTGGTCGGGGTCCAAGTTTCTGAAAAAACAACTCAGGGACATACGTTAAGATGTAATTTTTAGTTTCTATAGGGAACCAAACATCTCATGACTCTAGCTTCCTTGGCTATTGTTTTGAGCTACTGTTACCTTCTTGCTTATCAGGTTGCTCACTTACTTCTCAAGGCCAGCTAGGTGTCTGGAATTTCCCTGGAAGAAACTCAATATTTTCTTTTATTTCCATGCTTGGGGAGGGAGAATGAGGAGGAGGCCCCTAAGAGGAGTCCCTACTCCCTCTTGATGAGGTTTGGAGTTGCCTAGTGGGACAGGAATAGGATGCAGTAGAAGGCAGCACAGCATGCATGGATCAGACTGTCTGTGGCCAAGGCTGTAATGTCAAGGCGCCTGTGGCATGTCCACCTCTTCTAATTTCACCATCTTGTACTCAGAGTCTTACTTAGTTATAAAGAGCACACGTTTCCCCAGACTGTCCGCTCTCCCATATATCCTTCAGGAGCAGTTGATCTAGTAACGACATTTGAGATGTTCAAGGTATAAAGTGAGGTCTTCATGAAACAGATATCCCACCTCCATGTCCCTGGGACTCTGCTTCCTGCACAGGTCTATATAAAAAAGGGACCTAACAAACCAATGGTTACTCTGTATGGACTTAGTCGTAATTTTTCAGTCTTTCATTGATTGGGTTGCATTATTTTGGCTTATGTAGGAGGATGAAGATATATCCTTAAAGGTATAACTAGTTTATAATCATAAATTAGAAGAAAAAAGGCTAATAAATATGAAACAAAGTTGATTTCAAAAATAGTATTTTGCAGTGCCTTAATATTATTAGTAATAGTATTAACAGAGCAACTTCACCAATAAAATTACATTGTTGCATATAGCAAAAGGCATAACAAAAATCAAAATCCAGAAACATGTTGTTATTTTTCTCAGATGAAGTCTCGCTCTGTCACCCAGGCTGGAGTGCAATGGCACAATCTCAGCTCACTGCAACCTCCGCCTCCTGGGTTCAAGAAATTCTCCTCTCTCAGCCTCCCAAGTAGGTGGGATTACAGGCATGTGCCACCATGCCCAGCTAATTCTGTGTATTTTTAGTAGAGACAGGGTTTCACCCTGTTGGCCAGGCTGGTCTTGAACCCCTGACCTCAGGTGATCCACCTGCCTTGGCCTCCCAAAATGTTGGAATTACAGGGTGAGCCACCATGCCCGGCCCAGAAACATTTTAAAAAACTAAACAGAAGGTAGAAAACTGACATTTCATAATTATAGCTATAATTTAAATGCTATAAATTATACCACTAAATGACACAGAATATCAAGTATGATCAAGAAATAAACATAATACTATTTTTCATTCATTATACATAACAAAATAAAAAGATTCATAATGAAACAATCCAGGTGGAAAAGAGGCAATGAAGCGATTTCTAGGGAGCAGTTACCAATGAGAAGAATTACAAGTGCAAGCTCAAGTTCTGAAGCAACGGTTTAGATAACGGGACTGGTTTAGGAAACTAGGAGAAATATGAATCAGCTTATTATCACAGCTGTGGTAGAAGGGCATGATGACCAGGAGGAGATGTTCAATCTGACTGTGAGAGCATGTGAAAAATAAGGAGACAAAAATTGCACAATGATCCCACCCAGGGCACTGCAGCAAGAAGGAGTCCAGGTATCCGGCCCGAGGGATGGTGGTGGCAGGGATGCAATCGCTGAAGCTGGATATCACTAATGTGGTGATGTGTCTATCTGCGCTCTCATCCCTTGTCTCTCTCTCTTACACCAGATAACTTTGAACACATGATAAATAGGCAGAGTGGGTAAACAGATCTGTTGAATTATGTGGGCTTAGGGCAGATTAAAGTGAATTGAAAAGACTGTCTCCTTCAGTTGTCCATATGATGTATCAGCTTGACATTCAAAAGCCTCTACAATTTAGCTCACCTCTGCCTGCCTTGCCGGGCTTGTCTTCAATACACAGGGCCCAGGACCAGCTTTTCAGGCAGAGTGGCCTATTCCCCATCTCCTAAGTTTATCCTGCCTGTTATCACCTCCTCACCTTTTCCTGCTGTTCCTCCCTCCCTTCAAGGACCAATTCAAATCTCAGCTTACCCCTGATCTGAGTATCTTTTGTAACTCCTACTCTCTCTGTGCTTCTATCCATGAACGCTTAAAGCATTTATTATGCAATTAACTATATCCTTTCGTGCTTGGCTATTTGGCTGTTTATCTCTTTTGTTGTGGTTCAATGCTTCACATGTGACTGTCATATCTCTGCAAGTACACTATTCCCTGAAAGCAAGGTTATGTCTTTTTTATATCATTCATCATTTAGCATCTTCCAATTTCAGTTTGTTTATGGATATTATCTGACAAAATGCTCCCTATAAAACTTCATGTTAAATATTATTTTCCTCATTATATGAACTACCTAATTGAGGATTAACAAAGTTTAAAAACCCACCCTATGTCATACAGCTAATAAGTGACAGAATCAAGATTTAAAGCCATGTGATTTGGACGAAAATCCTCTACTTTTCCCATGAGGCCATGATATCATTACACCTTCCTGGAGCCATTACTCTAGATAATACATCAAAATAAAATATTCATAGCATATATACATACAAAAGCAGTCTCCATAAATACGTGTCAATTATTTTACTTCATTTGCCCACAAGTTTTAAGTTATGAAGCAATCTTTAAATGGAAAGCCTAGATAAAATGTCTATTCATGCATATTCACAGATGCACATGTATGCATGCACACATACATGTGCACACACACAGGGATGCATACACACATGCTCATACACACAAATGTTTGCATCACGATAGATTGGCTGGTAAGTGCCACACACAAGTTCTGCCTGAAAGGACATTGTGATCCTAATGGTACAATGAATGGTCTTATTGGCAAGGACATAGAGAATTTTTAATCCCATTTAGGGTAGAAAGGTGTGTAATCTTAGCAGAATGCTTTGAGGCTCAATTTTATTGCAAGGATGCCCAGACCTCATTGATTTGGTTTATAGTCAGCAAATTACTTTGAAGTACAGCCGTGTTAGTTGTAATATTAGCTATTGAAAAGCTCTATGTCAATTCCTCTGTTAATCATGACCTGGAAAGTATAATGAATGTGGAGGGTGCTCAGCAGGCATATTGTTTGTCCAGGTTCTCAGCTTATTCTCTGTTTGGGAGAGAAAGACGACAGCTCTGAAACCTATAATCTTTCAGAAGTGGGAAGCAGAGAGGGAATTGTGGTGGGGAAGGTACCACAAGATTGTTCGTAGGTTCCCTTCATAACTTGGACATCACTTTTTGGCAGCGGATAGTTTCCATGTGCACGATAAGAATCATTACATTTTGCTACTCTGTGTCTCTCAAACTTTGGCCACATAAAAATCACCTGGGTGATCAGGTGCGGTAACTCACACCTGTAATCCCAGCACTTTGGGAGGCTGAGGAGGGTGGATCACAAAGTCAGGAGATTGAGACCATCCTGGCTAACATGGTGAAACCCCGTCTCTACTAAAAATACAAAAAATTAAATTAAAAAATTTAAAAATTAAACTTAGCTGGGCATGGTGGTGGGCACCTGTAGTCCCAGCTAATCGGGAGGCTGAGAAAGGAGAATCGCTTGAACCCGGGAGGTGGAGGTTGCAGTGAGCCGAGACTGCACCACTGCACTCCAGCCTGTGTGACAGAGTGAGACTCTGTCAAGAAGAAGAAGAAGAAGAAGAAGAAGAGGAAGAGGAAGAGGAAGAGGAGGAGGAGGAGGAGGAGGAGGAAGAGGAAGAGGAAGAGGAAGAAAAGAAGAAAAGAAGAAGAAAAGAAGAAGAAAGAAGAACCTGAACCTGGGTGGCTTGTTAAAACAGAGAGCTAAGCCCCAATCCTGGTGATTGATTGGGGAGGTATATGGTAGAGTCTAATAATTTGCATCTCTTAGAAGTTCATAAATCATGCTGATACTGCTGGTCCAAGGAACACCCTTTGAGAACTGCTGTCCTAACAGACATGGTGTGTAATTATAGGGCAAAGAAGAAGCATTAGTTTCCTTCAAGAAAATATGATACTGATAATCAGGAAGCTTTTTCTATTAATAACACCAGTCCTAAGTATTTTTCTTCTGTTCCAACGTCAGTGCTCTCCTTTATATCTCAGAGAATGTAGAGAGCTTCTATGCATTACACAGATGCTCATATTACTATCTCAAGCCTTGTTCTTATGTAAGCAAAGTAGCTGTCCACCAAATAGGTGCTGACAGGCTTCCTCTCATTGATGGGAGTTTTTCTTCTTTTCTTCTTTTCTTTTTTTCTTTTTTCTTTTTCTTTTTCTTTTCTTTTTTTTTTTTTTTATTTTTTATTTTTGAGACAGAGTCTCACTCTGTCACCCAGGCTGGAGTGCAGTGGCGCCATCTCGGCTCACTGCAACCTCCACCTCCCAGGTTCAAGCCATTCTCCTGTCTTAGCCTCCCAAGTAGCTGGGACTACAGGCGCCCGCCACCATGCCCGGCTAATTTTCTGTATTCTTAATAGAGACGGGGTTTCACTGTGTTAGTTACGATGGTCTCAATCTCCTGACCTTGTGATTCACCCGCCTCAGCCTCCCAAAGTGCTGGGATTATAGGTGCGAAAAGGAGAGTCTGGATCAGGGAAAGCAGGAGAACACTAACCTATAGGAGAAGGAAAACGTCAATATCTGCTTCATCTCCTCTCCTTTCCTTCCATTACCTTTTCCCTCCACGTTCCTTTCATGTTTCTCCCCTATTCCTTTTGCCCCTGTCATTTTCTTCTCTTTAGGTCTGTAAGCCTCTGTCTATCCTCTCCTTTCTATCTGCTGCAGATGAAAAGAAGTTATTGTGGAGGATTGCCAACTTCCATCTCCATGACTTTACTTCGTCTTACATTATCCTCACTACATAAATCTTTTCTGAACAAAATGAATGCCATTCGTTCTGGTCCTAGAAACTTATTGAGACTTTGAACCATTCAGGCCAGGCAAGGTGCTAGCCAGTCACAATGACTTTCCAATAGCTTAGTATACCTGCCATGTAAACAACCTCCTTTTAAGAGACTCCATACAAATAGGTCATTTTGTTTGTGTTCAATGATATCATGACCTTGAACACGATGGATTTGACCCCCAACCCAAAAGAAGCAAGTCAATTTATAGGGATTCCTTAGATCTATGAAGTGACTTGGTGTGAAAGCTCTAATAGGAATGCCATAGACTGGATGGAGACTTAACAAGCCAATTCGATTTTTCTTTGTTGAAGAGTTTGAATTTGAGACACATGTAGAATAATTTTACAAAAGCAGTGCTAATAATAGAAATAGAGGTAAAAAATTGCCAAGTCATTCAAGCCAGAGTCTGGAGGATTGGATACCACAGGGCAATCACCAGAATTTCTATGCATCATCAGAGCAGGAGTTGTACTTTTAGAACTATTGCATTGACCTCAATAAAATCTCCACTCAGGCCAGGCGCGGTAGCTCATGCCTGTAATCCCAGCACTTTGGGAGGCCAAGGCGGGTGGATCCCATGGTCAGGAGTTCGAGACTAATCTGGCCAACATAGTGTAACCCGTCTCTACTAAAAATGCAAAACATTAGCCTGGTGTGGTGGTGGGCGCCTGTAATCCTAGCTGCTCAGGAGGCTGAGGCAGGAGAATCGCTTGAACCCAGAAGGCAGAGGTTGCAGTGAGCCGAGTTCATGCCATTGCACTCCACCCCAGGCGACAGTGTGAGACTCCATCTTAAAAATAAATAAATAAATAAATAAATAATAAAATAAAATAAAATAAAATCTCCACTCTAGGAATCCTGCTTAGTATAATTGTAAAATGCTATTTAGGATAAACTGAGTATCTCTGTTCCTTATGCCTCAAAGTAGCTCAACTTACAAATAATAAGGAAAGTTATTTTAGGCCAGGTGTGGTGGCTTGTTCCTGGAAGCCCAGCACTTTGGGAGGCTGAGGTGGGAGGATCACTTGAAGCCAGGAGTTTGACACCAGCCTGGGCAATAAAGGGAGACCCCATCTTTACAAAAAAAAAAAATAGCCAGGTGTGGTGGCACAGGCCTATAAGTCCTAGCTACTTGAGAGGCTGAGGCAGGAGGATCACTGGAGCCCAGGAGTTCCAGGCTGCAGTGAGCTATGATCATACTACTGCACTCCAACCTGGGTGACAGAGCAAGACCCCATCTTTGAAATAAATAAATAAAATTATTTTTAAAAAGTTACTTTAGGCTAAGATCTAGGCAGAAGGCTATAATGAATAGAGGAAGTAGCAATAATATAATCCAATATTGATAATCATGACCAGTAGTAGTTATTGAAAAAAAATTACCATGTGCCAGCATACTAGAAATGTCAATCATTGTGTCTGCTTGCCTACACAGACCTCTAGGGCAGTTGTTCCTCTCAAAACCACTGATTGAAGGACAAACCTAGGTTGCAATATTGTGTATTACCTGACCTCACCCTTCCCTTTAAATATTTAGACCAAAGGTGAGCAGCTACTTCAAGGACAGCAAATTCATAGTTTTATATATGCATATATATATATAAAATGTGTGTGTATGTATATTGTGAGCATGTGTGTATATATGTTTGAGTCTTGCACTTAAAATGTACTTTATGTAAGGAATGTCTGAGGAAATAGAAATAAATGTATAAAACAAAAAAGGAAGGATAAGCTAGGCCAGTCAGATCCCTGTATGGGCCATTTAAACTAAGAATATCAAGATAATGACTTAATTAGCTCATTGAAAGGTTTTGAAAAGTCATAAGGCAATTGATGGCATGAAGAACAATATGCAAACTCAAGTAAGGATGCTGAGCCCTTGGGCTGTCAGAATCTGTGATGCAGAGCAAAGAGAGGGCAGAGGAACAGAATGGACCAACCAGGGCATAGGCACAGAGAGAAGCAAAGGCAGAGAACACACAGCTCACGGTGGAAGGGACCAGGGAGGACCTGGCCTAAGAGAGGCCCTGTCTGCAGAAAGATTTTCAGGTCCCGTCTGAGTCCAAATCAATCCTGACAATGAACCCGATTTTCTTTGAGGCTCAGTGATGTAAAGCCCCTTTCCTGAAACTGGTGAGCTAATATGGACTGGAGCATTTATTTGAGTCTAGGGCTGGTTTGCTCTTTCCACTGCACTATCACGTGCTGCAGAGCTTCTACAAATGTGGAAGAACGTATGAGTCTTAACAACAACGATGCTCTATCACTCATATCTATCTTTTTCTCCAAGTACCATGCATGTTTTCTGTATGTGTATGAATTATATCCTTTTGGTCATTTTGAATGTGCCCCTCTGCCTCTTCTATCCCAATCTCTTCTAACTACAATGTTTCTGGCAATAAAGCATTTCATTTGAATGAATGAAAGTAATTAAGTTGTCTCTCATATTTTACCTGTTTATTTTACATGTGAGGTTGCTGAATGTTAATTTAAGCTGTGTTAATTTATAATTTTTTTCACATTTTAATAATTTATTTTTTATTGTGGTAAAATATGCATAACATTGAATTTACCATTTAACCATTTAAAATGTACAATTTAGTGTCATACACATTGTTTTGCAACTATTATCTCCAGAACTTTTTTTTAATCATTCCATACTGAAACTCTTTTTTTCAAACTCCCTGTCTCTCTGAGACAGAGTCTTGGTTCTGTCGACAGGCTGGAGTGCAGTGTTTATTTGTAGTTTCTTCCACTGTCTGCCATGTCCTCCTCCTCAGTCCACTATTCATTTACATTCTTTCCTATTTGGTTTTCATTTACCACTATTCAGTCTCCTCAGGTCAGGTCTTGAAACATTCTCTTAATAAGAAAGAATCTGATGTAAATAGCAATAGTAGTGACATCTGGTCTGGCTTTTTTAAATGGGGAAAGATTGAAGGTTGAGATACCTTTTCAAGGTCTGCCCTTTGTGGCTCTGAACAAAAAGACTATCAACATGATTATCAAGGAAACAGTTTTTTAATACTCTTTCCTCAACCTCTGGACAATACACAAAATGGGATAGCTACGCCTCACAATCCCAGCAACTGATCACATTCCCCTCCAATATCAACTCAGAGGCCTGAATCTACCTGTGAATTTTCACCACCTTTGCCTACATGGCCAGGTAGATGCATCTTAGGGAATGGCATCCAAGTAATACTAATGCTCTGGAATGAAGAGATTCCCAGTCTAGCAAGTCACAAAATTATGAAAGAGCAGTGCCCAGAGGTTCCTTTCAGATACACAATTCAACATCCAGTTCTCAAAATATTAGGACTGCATGGCACTATCCATCAGCCTGGTGATCTTCAGAGGAATCCGGGCTTTCCAGAGAGCCAGCGTGTTTCAGCTTTGACTATAACTGAAAAACTTCCAGTAATAGCTTTCTTTATGATCATTGACATTCATCACTGGCATCCAACTGAAGTTCTATATATCATATTCACAGATGAACATATTCACAGATGAATATGATTTCTAAACTGGGTAAACTAGAATATGCCACTTCATGGAGGTTGCCTACCTGCCTTTCCTCAATTTTATTCCAATTCTCATTTATAAATGCCCTTTGGCTGGCTAATATTTTGGTAAGCACATAGGTAGGTGTGTGTAAATTGTCTATCATGCATTCCAACAATCCACGCTTGCTTGCCGAAGGAAACATACCATAAATCATGGTATTTGTCTTCCCCCAGATACTACTTAAAAGGGCACAAATAAATGATGAATATTATCGTCAATGGCTCACTCCTTCCCATGCCACAAAATATAACGAATATCACTGGAATGGGAGTTAGGAGACCTATATCCTTGTTCCAGTTAACTGCTGATAGGGTGACTTCAGGCAAGTCACCAACTCTGAAAAACCCTCCAGAGTGAAAATAAAAATCCTGTCCTACTTTCCACTTAGGGTAACTATGAACAGGATGAAGTGATGCATGTGACAATTTATTTATCACTACTATATAAATATAAGGGGTCAGCGTGAGGCAGGGAGGGACAGGGGCGGGATAGCAGTTGCCAGTGATAAGAGGAGGTCCATTCTGTTGGGGGCACTGCTTCGGGAGATCTGTTTATTCTGTAATTAACAATAAGCAAGGGAGACCTCTGAGATGCTTACTTAGAGGTCATCATTTCAATTTGACTGCTATTTAATAAATATTTTCTCTGGTTGTAGATAGCTCCCTTAAAAATAAACAATTATTTTCAGCATATGAGCGAAAGAAAATACATTTATCTGCCATGTGCTAGCTGTTCGTTATAGGATTTAAGGGTCCATGAAAAAAATGATAAAAAAGAAAATACTCAGAATAATTCAACAATTATTTTCAAAGTGAGATAGATCAGGGATCCCTCTTAGGGGCCTGCCAGCCCCTGAACCATAGATATAAAGGAAAATCTTGAGTTTCTTCAAGGGGAATTCCAGGCACATAAAAGTAAATGAGCAACTTGGCAAGCAAAAAGGTAATAGTGGCTTAAAACAATAGTCAAGGAAGTTAGAGTTGCGAGATGTCTGATTCCCTATAGAAACTAAAGATAACATCTTACCATAAATCCCTTAGTTGTTTTTCAGAAACCCAGACCCCCACCAAACAGATCTGCTGGCATGTAGACCTCAGATAAGGAGGAGCTGAGGACTGGACTCTGACTGCCTGCCGTCTTTTACTCCAAATTTCTTCCTCGGAGGCCTGGAAGGAGTCATCCTCATAAGCCAAAGCTAGCATCCTTTTCTGTTGACCCCAAGTCTTTAGACAATGCTTCCTTTCCTTAACCAATTGCAAATCAGAAAATCTTTGAATCTACTTATGACATGTTACCCTTCGCTTCAAGATATTTCGCCTTTATAGGCCAAACCAAAGGATAACCTCCATGTGTTGATTTACAATTTTGCCTGTAACTTCCGCTTCCCTGAAATTTACCCCTACGTTTAACAACCCTTGTTTGTAAGCTATCAGAGAGGTCAGGTCTTCAGAGTGAGGTACCTGATTCTCCTTGCTTGGCGCCTTGCAGATAAACACCCACCTTTCTCCTGCTGCAAAACCTGGGTAGGAATGTTTGGCCTTACCATGCTGGGCAAGTGGACCCCAGTTCAGTTTGGTAACAATAGGAATCTACATAAAAAAAATTACATTATTTCACTGAAAAATTACAGCAACAAAATGAATAGTGGTGCTTTTGCTGCTGCTGCTGCTGCTGCTGCTGCTGCTGCTGCTGCTGCTGCTGCTGGTTGTTGTATTGATCAATTCCATGCTAACAAATCTTTTTCATTTGATACGTTTCTGAAATTTTAAGGTATGTGTGTGGTGTGAGGTGGAGGGGGGACCTTGGGTAGAAATACTCTGAATTCTATTTTCCTAGAGTTATTTGCTTCTTAAAACAAGCCAGTGCCATCATTTATAACTATAACCCTGAAGGCATCATGGTTGCCTAAATATATAAGCAAAATGAAATGTACAATTTGCAGAATCTTTATTTGAATACTTTAAAATTCTTGAATGGTTTAGGGGAAGACATGCAAGCAGTAAAAAAAAATCAAGTGTGATGCTATCTAGCAATGTTTATTAAATGCCTACTTGTGGTTCTGTTTGATATTCTGAAGGACAAAATGAATGTAATTGTGGAATCATAGAGTTATAAAGCTGGAAGGGATTTTAAATTTATCTTATCTAGCTTGTACAGTTTACTCACGGAGGAAGTGAGGCTAAAATATAATTAGTTCCTGAGGTCATTCAGGTAGGAAAGACAGGACTCAAACCCAGGTTTCCCAAGACCTAACACAAGACTCCTTCCAACACCCTCCCATTTGAAGAGCCCTGTTATATCAACTATTGCTAATGTATAATGTAAAATTCCCTAAGTGCATATAAACAACGAAGTAATTTCTAAACATGATATTACTGCAAGGATAGACCTGACCATTAACTTTAGGCTCTGTCAACACATTTAAAAGTGGAGAAGGGGTGTTCAGGCATTACTCAAGTCATTTGATTAATGCCAGCAGTTCAGATCTTTCAGGTTCTAAAATGGACTGCTGTGTGGATAAGCTGATTTGATAGTGTTTAGGACCTGTTTCAAAGGGTGCGTGGAAACTCTTTCCTTCCCTTCTTGCTATGTATAATAGCTTTGCGTGGGTGTTGAAGCCAGAGAATTGTTTGAAAAGAGAATTGCTGAGAATAAATCAAATCACCAGTCTTCAGAGACAATCAGTTAGGTCACATTTAGTCAACTCCGTGAAGCAAGGACAGGGGTTGGTCCTGAGTCTTGTATTTTTTTCCAAAATCGCTTTGCAATGACATCAACTATGGCTGACTCCCCATTCTCCTGCTTCACTGCTTACCATATAATGGCCCATTATGAATGTTTTGCTGAAGGCAGAAATTAACCTTTTATGGAAGTTTTGTCCCATTAAGTCTAGTTACTTGAATCTGGACTGATTTTCTTTCTGATGAGAAGACTTTTAGCCAATGTTTTAAGTGCTTGAAAAAAATGTTCTGGTCTTGACTGTCTGTGAGAGCCTTCCTGGTGGAAACAGAATTGTTAGTCAGCTGTCATCTCCATGGTGATTTTTTAAGGCTAAGTGTAAGTCATTCTTCTAAATATTGAGGCATAATTTGTGAATATGCAGTTGAATAAATAATAATAGAATTTTAAACAAGATAGACTGCCTTTAATTCTGCTGTTTGAGACTTTTCATGTGCTAGTCTAATCTATAACTAGTCTTCAAACATGACCTTAACAGTTTCTCTGAAACCACCTTTGCAAAGATTATGGAAGTGAGAGAAATCTAACGTGGCTGACTCCATCCTGCTTGTAGCCTTACAGGCTGGCTGTCCCTGTTCATTCCTGGGCAGAGGCCAAGATAACCATGGGAGGACTTTAGTTTTTAGTTTAACTTTGAAGCAAGGATGATAATAGTCCCTCCCTACAACTGATCCCCTCCTTGTTTGGGGGATGAAACCAAAAGGCCACAAAATAAGGGATATGGGAGGGGTCTGAATTCTGCTCAAATGTAGGCATAATTTCTATAGCTCATTACAGCTCAGGAGTCATGTAGCCAGAGGTCGCAAGATTTGTGACTTCCCCAATTGCTCTCATAGATCTCATCTCTATTGTAGAACCTAAGATTGATCTTTTGAGATCAACTCCAGTTATCCTGTGTGTCTGGCCTTGCATCAGTTAAACTCCTTTCTTGACTGCAATACCACAGTCTCAGGGAATTGGATTTGTCTGTGCAGCAGGCAGGAAGAACCTGCTAGGTGATTACATCCCCTCCTCAATGATCACGTTTTATCTGCCTGCCTGTGTTTTATTTCACTCTACCCACTTTCCGTGTATCCGGTTCCTTCAAAGAATAGCTCTATTCTAACCACTAAGTCTTCTCTTACACCCATCTCTTTGTATTCCCCAGTGTCTTATGCAATGCATATAACATAGGCTCCCTTGCCGGAGGAATTGCCACTTTGGGAAAAACAACTCTAGTTTGGATGTCAGGAGATCTTGGTTGAGGTTCTAACACTGCCCAGTACAAGCTCTGTGGCCTTATTAAGTTTCTCCATCTTCAATTCTTCCGTCTAAAAATTGAACAAGTTGGGCAAGATCATCTCTAATGTTCTCCGTCTGTGGATTCTATGATGAATCTCAGTTATAGAAACAAAATAATAAAATCATCAGAGAGCACTGGCTTCCTGCACTATACTTTTAATAGAGTGTTTTTTCATCCATTATCTCTTCAAATTTATGCTCAGAGGTCAGAATTATGATAAACAGCTAAAAGCTGCTGTGAGCTGGGGAGAGGAGTAAGTGAATTCACCTCTCCAAGGAGACTTGTTCTGCAGCTTGTGAGTGCTGTTAACCCAATGTTCCCAGTGGCAAAGTAGGGGCATCAAATGATTTATTCCTTATTTTATCTCTTTAAGTGTCCAGAAAGCTGTTAAAGCAAGAAAAAGGTCTAACAGCTCCCTATTGGCCAAGAATAAGTCTTTGGGATCATCCATTTAGAACAATAGACCAGAATGTGTGAATCTTCAACTATATTCCCTCATCTGAACCAGAGAGAGGCAGAATAAACAAGCCAGTATGTTCTGTGCTTACAGACTTCCTCCTTGCTATTATCTTATTTCTCCATTTCAAACCTTATATAGGTTAAAAAAAAAAAGTAAATAGCAGAACAAAACTGTCTCCCAAAGTTCTTGGAGATGGCTAAAATAAATATTTATTAACTGCATACTATGTTATATTTATAAGTTACAGGGTCAATAGGATGTCATGATTAAGATTATAGCCCCTGGAGCTGGTTAATACAGTACTTCAACAGTATCTGGCTCAAAGTAAGCACACAATAAATGTTGCCTTTTAATAGTGTAGTTATTTATTATTGTGGTTACTTCTGGGTACCAGATACATGGTGAGGAAAATAGTAAGTTCCCTTTTTCCATGGGCTGCCAAAATAACCTCTACATATATTGATAAATATTTTTTAAACACTGATTTTGGGGAAATTGTTGGTAGGACGATAAGACATACTCCAGATATTCTGGATCCATTCTCCTCCTGATATCACACCAAATTTTCCAACCTTGTGCCATAATAAATGGGACAAATGTAGCATTTAAGTTAAAATGTAAAAACTATAAAATAAATTTACACTGCAGCTGGGGTCACCTTGGTCTTGTCCTATTTTGTAATCCTCCAGGCTGAACCAGATTTCTTTTCATTATGGGAGTGAAAATGAACTCAGCGGATTTTCTCCCCGATTCCTCTCCATTTTCTGTTTTCAGACTTCTCCATCATGTTCTTGTGCCTGGTGAGTCCCGTTGTCAGGTCTTGTTGTGACCCCAGAGATCAATTAGAGGGTCGTTCAGTGTTTTACCATTTACTTGGCAAAGAGGATAATGCGGGCACTGTGAGTCACCACACGGAGTTATGGTTATACATGTGACATTAAAATTAATTGTACACGTGAATACATTGGTGGTGCTCTAAGGCATTGGATTTGCTCAGAGAAAGGGATGGCTTAGGAGAAGACAGAGAAGGTAAGAACAAATTCTAGGCTAGGAGGCAAGCCAGCTAATGAGTGACATTTCCCCATGCCACCATAGTGGTCACAGCTCCTTCAGGGGCAAGCTGGGGCACACAGCCTTCTTCTTTTATGCTCTTTCCCTCTCTAAAAACACTGGGAGCCATATCACCCTGAGTGGACCAACACAGTCTCTAATTGGAACTTATTTTTCAGTTTCCCATGCTCTACTGGTGGCTCTGTGATAAGAGAGTTTATGGAAACATAAAGAGCCCACGTTAGTGTTTAGCCAGTGTCAAGTCTGACTAAAAATGAAATCTTGTTGTTGTCATGCTGTGGGATTTGCAAAGAGAGCCGCACTGAGGCTGGAAAACAGGGGAACTCAAGGTGACAATTGTATGTGGGTTTTAAAGGGCAGCTATGATTAGAAATGTGCCTGTAAAAATGGCATTTCAATGTTCCAAATGTATTCCCCTTTGGTGATTTCCAGGTCAAATTCACTTAGTTTACAAATAAAAACAAAAGATTCGCAACTGCAGCTCTGGGAGCTCAGTGAAAGACTTGAATAAAGGAGAGACTTGTCCTGTCCTCGGCTGAAGAGCCCTGCTCCAGCAGGCAAGGCAGAGGCCGCCACTGAGCAGCAGAGCGGCCGAGGATGGGTCTCACAGGCGGGCTGCTCGGCAGGTGCAGCCCTGGTGCCCAGGCCCTGGGGTTCTGCAGTGCCACTAAGTGCACACCATCTCAGCCACACTCGAGAGAGCCCATCTTTGTCAATGAGTGCTTTTGAATGGACAACAAATGCATTGCCAAATTGTAAACAGCAGTGTGTATGTATGTGTGTGTGTGTGTGTGTGTGTGTGTGACAGAGAGAGAAAGAGAGAGAGAACAACAGATAAACAAGAAAAAAAACAAAAGTAAATTACTCACTGTGCCAGGTATTGTGACAGGAAGTGCTAGTCATCTATATTCTTGTGGAAAACTGGCCATTATCTGGTGTATATTGACACTTCCAAGGAATCCAGACTCAACACCACCCCAGGTGCTATGCTTTGTAGATAGGGGAATGTTAGCAGGACATTCAAGATACGGGAATGTTATCAGGACTATTAAAATATTTCTTCTCTGACAAAAACAAGTAATGGGGAAAAGCCTCCCTAGTCAATAAATGGTGCTTGGATAACTGGCTAGCCATATGTAGAAGATTGAAGCTGGACCTCTTCCTTATACCATAAACAAAAATCAACACAAGATGAATTAAAGACTTAATTGTAAAACCCAAAACTGTAAAAAATCCTGGAAGACAACCTAGGCAATACCATGCTAGACATAGGAACAGACAAAGATTTCATAACAAAGACACCAAAAGCAATCGCAGTAAAAGCAAAAATTGACAAGTGGGATATAATTCAACTTAAGAGCTTCTGCACAGAAAAAGAAAGTATTAACACGGTAAACAGACAACCTACAAAATGGGAGAAAATATTTTCCAACTATGCATCTGACAAAGGTCTCATATCCAGCATCCTTAAGGAACTTATATAAATTTATGAAAGGAAACATACAACCCCATTAAAAAGTGGGCAAAGGACATGAACAGCCACCTTTCAAAAGAAGACATACATGCAGCCAACAAGCATATGAAGAAAAGCTCAATATCACTGATCATTAGAGAAATGCAAATGGAAACCACAATGAGATATCATCTCACACCTCTAAGAATGCTATTATGAAAAAGTCTGAAAGTAACAGATGCTAGTGAGGTTGTGGAGTAACGGGAACACTTATTCACTGTTAGTGGGAGTGTAAATTAGTTCAACAATTGTGGAAAGCAGTATGGTGATTCCTCAAAGAGCTAAAAGCAGAACTACCATTAAACCCAGCAATCTCATTACTGCGCATATATCCAGAGGAATATAAATCATTTTACTATAAAGACATAAGCACACAAATGTTCATTGCAGCACTAGTCACAATAGCAAAGACATGGAATCAATCTAAATGCTCATCAGTCGTAGACTGGATAAGTGTAATACATATACTCCATGGAATACTATGCAGCCATGAAAAGGAATGAAATAATGTCCTTTGCAGGAACATGGATGGAGCTAGAGGCCATTATCCTCAGCAAATTAAAATAGGAACAGAAAACCAAATATCACATGTTCTCACTTATAAGTGGGAGCTAAATGATGAGAACTTATGCACACAAAGAAGAAAACAATAGACACTGAGTTCTACTTGAGGATGGAGGATGGAAGGAGGGAGAGGAGCAGAAAAGATAACTATTGGATACTGGGCTTAATACCTGGGTGATGAAATAATCTGTACAACAAACCCCCATGACATGAGTTTACCTATGTGGCAAACTTTCACATGTACCTCCAAAACTAAAATAAAAGTTAAAACAAAAGTTTCTTTCAACCTGTAAAATATTACATGCTATGTACTACCCTGTTGCACAGCCTCAGCAGGCTCAATCCTTCTACAGCCTGGACGTAAAGCATGCAGGGACCTCAAAGTAGAATTGCAAGAGGTGAGACCATACAGCTAAGGGAAGCAGAGTAAGGTCTGATGTATTAAATTAAATAGAAGAAATGGCCAATACAGTTGGTTGCCCATCAAGTATTTAGTCTCTTATTGTTCCTTGTTTTGAGACACACTACTTTTTTGGGGTGCAGCAACATATCCATTCCAAGGCATGATTGTGCAGAGACACTTCTGATAAGTGTGGTCCCTAATTTTCCAGCTTCCCTTGCTTCTGTGGGAAGACTTGCTGCCCATGGAAGTCTGCTGGGAAGTGGGTGTGAAGAGATGAGCTATGAAAATATTTGCTTTCCTGATTATAGAAAATAGAATGGCCTCCAAGAGCCCTTTCCCCTTTTATAGTCTTCCCATCTTGCACGGGACACAGATATGATGGCTTGAGTGTCAGTAACCTCGCTGTGACCAGGAGAGGAAGGCCACAAAAATGGAAGAAACTTTTGACCTAATTTGGTAGAGCTACTAAAATAATCATAGTAATTGCCTACCTCCCTGATCTTTTGGAGAAAACCAAAGTGTTGTTCCCTAATGCCTCTGTCATGGGATTTTCTAATTCAGGCAGCTGAACGTATTTCCAACTAATATGGAAGAATGGCATGGGGGCTGTTCCATCTGCTTGGAGGGACACTCAGCCATTCCAAGCACCTAGTCCAGGATACCTAACAAAATTGAGACTAACTCAAGCCAATATCTCTCTCTCAGGGGTTGGAGAAAGCAAGGTATGAGGTTTTGGAGCAGCAGCCGTAGTTCTAAGGATGGGTGGATATCAGAGTTGAAGTACCAAGAAAGCCTTTTGAGGATACTCTGATCCTCTAGTTCAGGGTATGTAAAAGCAGATTCTGGCCCCAGTAGAAGTGAACTTCTCCCAAAGGAGAAGACTGAATTTATTCACCGCCTGGGTTTTCTTTTTACTGGAGAACTGCACTAAAACAAAACAAAACAAAAAACATCTGTCTTCCTTCAGGACCTTGCAGCATCAATCAGTTTCATGCAAAGGAGAAGCTCCAGCGTTGTCTTGCCACAAAGAGCCTTGGGGGTGACCCACATTCACTGTCACATCCTTCACATCTTTTTCCATCTCGTTGTTGCTTTTTGCCACTTCTGAAATTGTTACACATTTTCTTGTTTGGATCCCTGCATAGCCTGTGTGATGGTTAATATTGAGTGTCAACTTGATTGGATTGAAGGTGCAAAGTATTGTTCCTGGGTGTGTCTGTGAGGGTATTGCCAAAGGAGATTAACATTTGAGTCAATGGACTGGGAGAGGTAGACCCACTCTCAATCTGGATGGGCACCGTCTAATCAGCTGCCAGCTCAGCTAGAATAAAGCAGGCAGAAGAAGATAGAAAGAGCAGACTTGCTGAGTCTTCTGACCCTCATCTTTCTCCTGTGCTGCATGCTTCCTGCCCTTGAACATCAGACTCCAAGTTCTTCAGCTTTTGGACTCTTGGACTTACACCAATGATTTCCCAGGGGCCCTCAGGCCTTCCGCCACAAACTGAAGGCTGCACTGTTGGCTTCCCTACTCTTGAGATTTTGGGACTCAGACTGGCTTCCTTGCTCCTCAGCCTGCAGATAGCCTATTGTGGGACTTCACCTCGTGATCGTGTGGGTCAACACCCCTTAATAAACTCCCCTTCAAATATACATCTATCCTGTTAGTCCTGTCCCTCTAAAGAATCCTAATACAGCCTAATAACTTACCTCTCTCCTCAAAGGCTAACGTGATGTTTCCCTGCAGATATGCCAACTTATGTGAGTTTGGGTAAGCATTTATCCTCTCCATCAGTACCACTCTTTCTGAGCTTTTGCTGATCACCTGAGTGGCAAATAAGCAGAAGACTGGAATAAGGAAGAAAGTCAGCCAAATGCACCAGTAATTTTGGCAGAATCTTGATAACCATGGGAGAGAATAGAGTACGCTGTTTCTTTTTTTATTTTATATATATATGCTTTTTTTTTTCCAGACAGGGTCTTACACTGGCCCAGGTGGAACCATTATTGATTCACCACAGCCTTGACCTCCCAGGCTCAAGCAATCCTCCCACCTCAGCCTCCCTAGTAGCTGGAACTACAGGCATGTGTCAACAAACTCAGCTAATTTTGGTAGTCCTTTTTTTTTTTTTTTTTTTTTTTTTTTTGGTAGAGACGGGGTTTCTCTGTGTTGCTCAGCCTGGGCTCGAACTTCTATGCTCAAGAGCTCCACCTGCCTTGGCCTCTCAAAGTGCTTACAGACATGAGCCTGTGCCCGGTTGAGTGCACTGTTTCTAATGGAGCCCTTTGATTTGGTATGTCTTGTTTGAAACACACTTTCTTTTAGAAAAACTTAACCTCTTAATTTGTTGATCTGTAAAATGGAGATAATAATAATATAGACCTCATAGAGTTGCTGTTTCAGCTGAGATGATTTATCAAACTATTTAGAAGATTGACAGCACATGGTAAGTGTCCAAGAAACGTAATCTCTCTGAGTGATCAGGCACTCACTCATTGAATCACAAATACTCATTAAGTACTGGTTATATGCTGAATACCTGGCATATAATGTTGACCACTAAGCCATGGTCCCTACCTTCAGGGAACTTATAAGAGTGTTGAATAAAAATTATAGAAGGAAATTGTTACAAACTAAGTGCACACACAAGGGCCCAACAGACCAAACTAAAAGTCAAAATGGAGTCACTTATGCTGAGGCTCCACATCACCAAACCAAAACTGAGTTATCCAACTTGAGAAATCTGGAGGGAGAGATAGGCAAATTTCCCAAACAGGCCAGTTTCAATTGGCGTGGTAATGAAGTTCCCTCTGCCTTTAACTCTTAAACAAAAAGTAACCTGAAGTAACTTGATGTTAGCCAATCACTTTTCTATTGTTTTGTTTCTGTTTTCCTACCTTACAAGAAATATAAATTTGAAAGGACCAATCACTTCCTGTTCTTTGTTTCTGCTTTCTTCAGCCCTGCTCTGCCTATAAAACCAATGTCCTCTGCTCAGCTCACTGGAACTTATTCCATTTTATGAAATGAAGTGTTGCCCAATTCTAGGACCTCAAATAAAGCAACCTTAGATCTTTAAATGTAATTCTTGTAACTTTGTCTTTTGGCAAAAGCAATCAGTAGATAAACCATACTCTTTGGTCCTATGCGTGCTGTGATATGAAGTAAAAAACATGGTTCTAAGTAACATGGAATCTACTTGCAAAGGAGACTGTGACATTTACAAGATGAATGGATATATTTGAAGAGCACAAACTCTTTGGCTTTTGGTTAAATATTCTGAGACTCTTTTCCTCCACATTTGAAATGTATTCACACTTCCCCAGGAGGAAAAGCTAAAGCTCAACCCTGTCAGGACGTTGTAATTTCTGGGTCAGTCAGGAGAAAAACTACACAGTACTTTAACAGTTATGGTAATATAAATATTCTAATAGGGAATTGGAGTAATCAGGAATTAGGTCACTGGAAGTCGAGAACTCTAAAGAACATAGAAATAGTAAACATGACGAACAGTCACAGCTATGGAGCAGAGACATCACGCCCAAGGAAGAGCCCTCTGCAGTGGCCATTCCCCACCCAAAGCTGAGATCCAACCTGGCTGGAGAGGCCATTTTGTGGCTCATGATGGCAGAGAAGTCACTGTATATAGAGATAATATACGTAGAGAAGCCATCCTGGCAGATCTTGCTGGAAATAGGCCCTTTGGAATTTGCTGGAAAACTGCCCTCCAGGAAAACTTCACCAGGAGGCATCTTTCTTACTGGAGGCACTCTACAACAAAGTGCTCAAAGAAGAGCTGCCAGGCAAGGTGCCAGCCATTGAGAGCTGCTGACTGCCATGCAATGCAGAGCCTGATGCAGGAGAACCATGCACACTACAGGAGCAGGCCCAGGGAACATGCCAGAAGCAGGAGGCAAAATTCTTCTCTGCCAGAATCTCTCTCCAGTGCCTTGTAGTGAATTAGTGCTAGCTGGTGGAAGAAAAAGAGTTAAGATTGCAGATTTATTTCAACAAGGCAGTAAAAAGGGTGATATTGGAACTGAGAGGCAATGGATGAATAGCACAGGCATCCAACTCGAACCAGGCAATATACAGTATTCTCTCCATTAGGACAGAAGAGTCAACTCTTGATCCAGAGAGTTGAGAACTAAGATGTTCCTTTTCTCCTTAACTGCCTCCCCTGTAAACCTACACACACAAACACACACATACGCAAAACATTCAGTACACAGTGGTGTAACCAGAATAGGATAACTGTAGTAAATACTCCCATTTTAAAAAGGGAATGTGAGGGAGACAGCAACAGTCACCACCCATAGCAATTGTGCTTGGAGGACTGTGAAGTTTTCATCCCCTAAGGTGGAGGAGGACTCAAGAGGAAGTCATGGTTCTACTCCTGGAAGGGCTCATTTGACATTTCTTCTAGATTCCCTGACTCTACTGTCGGGAAGTTTCTTCCGAGGGTTTTAGAATTGTTTCAGTAAAAGATATGTTTACATTCTGAACTTGTGGCTTCTTAGGTTATTCATTGTCTCAAAAAGTTAATCAGATTCTGACTCATGGACTCTCACTCAGTTCCAGGAACCAGCAACCACACCTAGACATCTGAAGAGACATAGATTTTAGAGCCACTTTATTACTTTTCATTTTTTCCCTCACACCTCTCTCTCTCAACTTAATTAAAATACCTTAAAACTCAATCTGATCTTTGCCTAGAATCACTTTATCTTACTGAGCGTTTGTGATTCAAAGCCTTTTGTAATCCCTTCTCTTACAGTTTGGGCTTTAGAAACAGTCGGCTTTTCTAACCCTGCAAGGACCCAATTTTCTGGATTCTATTTCATTCCAGTTCATTTCTACTTATAAGGAGGCTAATGAATTACTGAGTTCTTGTCTTTCTTGTAATACCTTGTCAATCCACCAATAGTTGCTAATATCTCAGTAACAACTGCCTTTTAAATTTTGTATTATTTCCTTCTAACACTGCAGGCACATTGTACCTGTTCTCACTTTTCACTGTAAAAAATGGATCACCATCTTCTTAGCCTCACTGTTAACTGCTCAACTCCTTATTCAATGCCACATAAATTAGGTTTTTGTAACGTCATTACCCTACTTTTGGAACCAAGATTCCTATAAGTCAGGAGAGTTAACAGATTTGGTTACAGTGTAAAAGCTCTAAAATCTCAGGTACTTAAAATAATTTAAGGATTATTTCTCAGTTAACCTAAGTCTCATACAAATTAAAGAGTCCTGTTCTATCTTGAAACTACCTATCTGGAACACATCACTTTTAAGATTAGCATGATAAGGAAGAAGAAAAATGGCAATTCTACTGGAAACTTTGTGTGGACTTTATATCCTGACATAGAAGACATGGAAAGAGATTACAACATATCCAGATGTGGAAAAAAATAAATTCACAAAACAGTATTCAAAATTTCTATTAATTTTGGAATCTGTGATATCTCTCTCCTGCAGAGAGACAGGAGCTCCCCAGTAGGTCTTCTGGTTCTGTGACAAAATACACAGGGTTTTACAGACGACCTTGAGGATGTGGTGTCTGATTTACATAGGGCACGAGAGATTGGTTGGACCAGGTGCGCCATTCACACAGTGTGTGAAGATGCTGGCCACCCCACCCTAATCTTTTGTTATGCAGATGGGTTCTCTACCCGGCCGGCACCATGTTGCCTGCTTTTTTACTGCACATGTGGTGATGAAGAAAAAGGAAGAGGGAACCTCCATGTTGAATATACCTGGCTTCCAGGTATCCCTTTTCTATTGGCACAGCTGCTGGCATTTCCCTATGCAAGTTTTAGCTTGCTTATCTATGCTTGCAGCTTGATTTTTCAGGCTGCTTTTTATTAAAGGGAAACCTTACCAAGGACTCTCTTACCCTCGCTGTCTGCCTAAATCATTTCCTTCTAGCTCCTGTATCACCAGCCCATTGGCCAGGAGCAGCCAAATGGCCCAAACCTAACTTCAAGGAAGACTGGAGAATGTAGCTGGCACATGGAGTACTTTTGGACCACGAACTTTCTCTGCCACAGTATAACATATGCTGTGTCAAAAAAGTATGCCTAAGATAAAATGAAATCTAAGATAAGACCTGAAGGAAGAGTAAGAGTCAGGTGAAGAATGAAGGGTGGGGCGCGGTGGCTCATCCTGTAATCCCAGCACTTTGGGAGGCTGAGGCGGGCGGATCACCTGAGGTCAGGAGTTCGAGACCAGCCTGACCAACATGGAGAAACTCTGTCTCTATTAAAAATACAAAATTAGCCAGGCATGGTGGCACATGCCTGTAGTCCCAGCTACTTCAGCTACTTGGGAGGCTGAGGCAGGAAAATCGCTTGAACCAGGGAGGCAGAGGTTACGGGGAGCTGAGATTGTGCCACTGCACTCCAGCCTGGGCAAAAAGTGAAACTCCGTCTAAATAATAATAATAATAATAATGAGGGCAGGCATGTTTCAGGATGGCCGACCAGCATGTGCAGGGAAAGCATGGCACCATTCGGGGAACATACTGAGCTGAGTTAGGGGACCAATTCAAAGTCAGTCCTGATGATAGAGAGACAGAACATTCGACTGGACATCGCTTTGCTCAGAACTTTAGCAATGTTGAAGTCATAAGGGACGCACAGTAGAACTGAAAGAGGAAGGGACAAAAATAACTGTTTAAGATAGTCCAAGAATATGTAGTACCTACATAAGTAATCTGCATATTTTTAATGCCTTCATTCATGAAATCTGCAAATTTTTAATACCTTCAATTCATTTTCAGAAATGAATATGTATTTCACATTAGAAAACAAGTAGAATTAATTATCATCTTTTACTCAGCAATTCCATTTTCAATTTTCTTAAGGGCAATAAGTAAGAATCTTTAAGATAGAGTGACAATACAATTTATTGACCGAACTAGGAGACTTTTGCAGGGAAAAGGGTTTTCTCTAAATACTTACAGTAGGACAACGGCTGTAAACTGGCTCTTTCCTGAGCAAATCAGAATGTATGGTCATCGTGTATATAAGTATTATGAAATTTGTCACATCATTGTTTACAATGTCACAGTAAATAAATTATAGCAATAAATAGGAATTATAATTATCATGTAAAATGATGACATAGTAAGCAGCTGATAAAACAATGTTATGCCTGGGTGTGCTGGTGCACACTGTAGTCCTAGCTACTTGGGAGGCTGAGGCAGGAGGATCGCCTGAACCAGGAGTTCGAGGTTGCAGTGAGTTATGATCTTACCACGACACCCAAGTCTGGGCAACAGAGCAAGACCCCATCACTAAAAAAAAAAAAAAAAAAAAAAAGTTATAAAGAAAATATTTGATATCATGAAAAGAGTTCACGATATGTAAAGATAGAGAAAAAAAGTTTACAGATTTATTTCCATTCAATGGGTGGTAGTAGAAAAGATAGTAAAAAACCAGCCGGGCACAGTGGCTCACATCTGTAAATCCCAGCAGTTTGGGGAGCCGAGGCAGGTAGACGGCTTGAGCAGAGGGGATTGAGAACAGCCTGGGCAACCTGGTGAAACCCCGTCTCTACAAAAAATACAAAAAAAAATTAGCCGGTTGTGGTGGCATGCACCTGTGGTCCCAGCTACTTGGGAGGCTGAGGTGGGAAGATCACTTGAGCCTGGAAGGCAGAGGTTGCAGTGAGCTGAGATTGTGCCACTGCACTTCAGTGTGGACAAGAGAGTGAGACCCCATCTCAAAAAAGAAAAGTAAAAAACTGTTACAACTTATTAAAATTGGTTGACTCATTGAATAGTAGAATGATATGTGTGTGCATATGTGTGTGCGTGTATGTATGTTTTCTATTTTGATTCATTGTTATTAGTCAGCAGTCTGGGGATACAGCACTTTAAAAAGATACTTTTGGACCTCACCAAAGTTTTTACAAGTAGATTCAGCTGAAGGACAGCTCAGAGTCAAAGAATAATAATTCTTCCCAAATGTATAGCACTTTCACATTAAAGTGCCTTCATGTGCGTTATCTGATTTCATCTACTCAACAGAAGACAGGTATTATAATTCTCATTTTACAGTTCCAGAATCAGAATTTCTGAAAGATTAACTTAATTGCCCGAAGTCAAACAGATATTTTAAGGTGGGGTGAGAATTATAACTCACATCTCCCAACTCTAAGTTCAAATTTCTTTCAAAGACAGCAACCTAGGTTCATCCCGGGTCACTAATTATGATGCAATATTTTATTACAGGCAGTGTTAAGGGGCTACTATTTGGTTGGAAGAAGCCTTTGGAAAAGTTGTTGAAGAGTCACGTGCACAAGTGATGTGCTGAGCAGACTGGATCTTGCCTGATGGCCAGAAAATTAAAACAACACTGAAATTAATAAAAATTCAAACTCCCATTCTGCTATTTGAATACTTCACTGAGCTTAAGGATATAACATTTAGGATTCTTTTTTTTTGTAGTGGAATTTATTCCAGTGCTAGTTTATATAGTATATATAATCTACTTAATTTATCCTTTCCATACATGAACACATGAGTCCATAAACCTTTTATTCATTTATTAATAGACTCACTATGATTATTTCTGTTGAAGTGTCTAGTGGGGAATGCTAAGAAATACCATGAGGAGGTTGGGCGCAGGGGCTCAAGCCTGTAATCTCAGCACTTTGGGAGGCCGAGGCAGGTGGATCGCCTGAGGTTGGGAGTTCGAGACCAGCCTGACCAACATGGAGAAACCCCGTCTCTACTAAAAATACAAAATTAGCCAGGCATGGTGGCACATGCCTGTAACCTCAGCTACTCGGGAGGCTGAGGCAGAATTGGTTGAACCCGGGAGGGGGAGGTTGCAGTGAGCCAAAATCATGCCATTGCACTCCAGCCTGGGCAACGAGAGTGAAACTCGGTCCAAAAAAAAAAAAAAAAAACAAAATAGAAAAGAAAGAAAAAGAAATACTACAGGGAGGTGAGATGGGAGATGGGAATTGATTCATCCCTTCGCATGTCCCCTGCCCATTACTCAGAAATCTGTGTGGCATCTTTTCATATGGGCTTTAAGTTCTTCAAGGAACCTTTTAAGGATGTGGCAATACTCCCTGCAAGCACACAAACCTATCCAGGGACTACCGACTTAATCAGCTAGAAACACGAAGATCATCTCTGCTGCTTCTCTGAAAATTAAATGCTAAATTTGAGAAGGGTGGTGGGAATTCTTTGCTGATCTTAATGAATAATGAATAATGAAAGCTGCCCGGCTCCTGTTGACTAAGTATATGCTTGGATTTGATCAGCCATTTAATTTCATATTTTGGTAATTGTTTTGAATGATACCAGAATTGAGGGACAGTTACTCACATGAGCATAATTTCTAGTCCTGAAACCTGGCAAGCTTGTCTTATTGACCTGACCTAAATTTATATTGTTGGTTTTTAAAATTTAGTATTCCTTCAGGTATTTCATAAATTGCTTTAGGTAGATTTTATGTCAGATATTTCATATTTTATGTTGTTCTATGACTCAATCATTTGCAGATAAATTATGGAACTTTGAAATGTTTGCCTGATCATGGCTTCAGGGCGAAAACAGAAAGGATTGCTGAGCTAATTCCAGCGAATTTTTTATTAATTTATTTTGAAAATATCAAACTTTGTTGTAATTTTGTTATCAAATTGTAAGTCATATGATTGCTTTACAACACTGAAGGAAGAAAATGTGCACAAAAGAGTCAAAAGATATAGGCATTGAGTGAGATCCAGGGTTCAAATCCTAGCTTCACCGTGTAGCAGCTGAATGACTGAGGGCAAGTTAGCCTTATATTTCTTATTTTATTACTCATTTTAAAAATACCAAATTTGTGAAGTTGTTGTGATTAGTATATAAAATAATTCATACAGATTATCTGACGTTGTTTTTTCCTTTAGATTTTACATTAAAAATATAGTATTTTTTCTGCTATACTGCTATCTGCTATACTGGTGATAACGGACATTAGGAGAAACATTAATTATCTGCTTTAGCTGAAGTTTTTCTCTACATCATCAAATAATTTTCCCCCATTAACATGATGTTAAGGTTGTCATCTACCTCAAAAGATGAAAGAGAGCCTTTCAATTCTGCAATTCTGTGGCTATACTGGTTTAACATTTTACGGCATGACAGAAGCAAAAATAGAACCAAGAGCCCCATGAGTTAGCATGTGCAGTGACACTGAGGCTCCCTGACTTGGGGGGAGGAGGTGGATTTAGACCAAACACCACCAGACAGACACCCAGGCAATAAGCTGCAGACTGATAAAGAGATGAATGAAATACACCAATGAGCACCTAGAAAACACCAAAGCAAACACAAAACAATATGTGTAAATGACAGATTTAAAAAAGAACATATTGCATTTTTAAAAATAAAAAATAGTCATTAGAATTAAAATGTAAATGGACATTTAAAATAAAAACGTAGACACATATGGAACAAGAATTGGTAAATTAGAAGATAAATATAAGAATACTAATATCGAAGGAAAAAGAAATGAATCTATTTAAAAAAGGTTAAAACTCACCTAAGTGGACACTAGAGCCACTCATTTGATTTGTCTGTTTTTTGACTGCCATAAGATTACCCTTCCTGGTCACTTTGTACACTTAGAGGATTATGCGTGGCCCATCATATTTCTAGCCAACGAGTGATTGAATGCGTGTGATGAGTATGTCTTCCAAAGTAAATATTTAATTGCCAGAACATTCTTTTCTGTTTGAGTGCCAACAAGATGTCTTAGCTAGTATCCCTGAAAAACTGCAATGAGCAGAGTGCCATTGATATATCTAAAATAAACATGTAGCATGAGGAAGAGAAAAATAAAATAACTATTTGATATCTTGGACGAGTGAGATGTCAAGAATGTTTAATACACTAGCATAACCTAGCCCAGGAATTGGTAAGCTAAGGCCTGTAGGCCCTGGATACCACTTTTTGTAAATAAAGTATCCTGGAATACAGCCACAGACATTCATTGATGTAACATCTCTAACTGCTCTCGTGCTACAACAGTGGAACTGAATAGTAGTGACAGGAACTGTGTGGTCCATACAGCCTACATAAAATGTCTCCCGTAATGAAGAAATGGAGACAATAAAAACTGCAGAAAAAGTCACGTAAAAGTTCCAACAGGAGATAATTTAGAAGAAAAAAAGAAATACTGTAAAGAATAATGGCAGATAATTTTCTTAAATGAAAAAAATAAAAAAATAATGACCCATTAAGATTTTTGTTTCTCTTTTTGATAGAACAGATTGCAGCAGACCCATGTTCCTATTAGGAAAAACTTACAAAATCAAGATGAAATTTGAAATCTGTTTGAAGACATCAGAAACAGTCAGGAGTTTTCCTAGAATCAAGTAACTAAGATCCCAGAAAGAAGAAACTGTAGCGAGGTATGCCCATGTCCTGTAACTGCTCCACCCTTCAGGGAATTTTCAAACTTTTGGAGCCAATTCAGGAAGAAGGCCACTGTTAAGACATAAATAAACTAGATGAAAAAAATCAAAACTCCTAGAATAGAGAGGATAACATAGATATTTCAGGCTGTCAAATAATCAAAAGAAAGTTGACTTAAATATATTAATAATAAAGTAGACTCTGAGACAAAAAATACTGCTAAAGAAAAAGAAAGGGGTTACATAATAACAAAAGGGTCAATCCACAAAAATCATAAAACTGCTAATGTTTTATGTGTATAATAATGCTTTGATCCTTCTCCATTCTAGAACCTGGAAGAAAAGAGTAAAAAAGGTTTTGAAATATGTAAAGTAAAAATTAAAAAATTAAAATGAGAAATAGACAAACTCGCAATTACAGTAATTTATGAGCCTTTGTATATGAACACATATAGAACCTCACTATACCCAATGATAGCAAAATAGCATATTTTTTCATTGGACATAGGACACTTATCATTAATAATTATATACTGGGCCTTTAAGTGAGCTCAACAAATTTCTAAGGAATGATTGTATGTAGAGTACGTTCTCTGATTACAGTGGAATCAAGCTATAAATCAATAACAAAAAGTAAATTATCAGCCGTTTGGAAACTAAGATATACTTGTAAATAAGACAGGGGTGAAATAAATCAACCTGGAAATTAGAAAATATTTTGAACTAAAAGACCAAAAAATGCCCTATCAAAATATATCTGTTAAGCCTGTTTAGAGGAGAAATTACCTAAAGGAAAGATAATTTTAAATAAATATAACTTAAAAAATAAATTCTCAAAAAACAGTAACTTATGTAACCATCTCAAGAAGCTAAGGAAAGAATAATCAGTTAACCCCAAATAAAGTTAAAACAAGAAAATAATAAAAAGATAGACTAATGGAATAAAAAACAAATGTAAAATAAAATAATATAAATAAAATCAAATTTACATTTGGGAAAGACTAATTAGATTCATAGAATTCAACCAAGAGTTAAAAAAATACTCATATCAGGAGTAGTAAAAGAGACATAATCATAGATTTTACATATACAAAAAGAAAATAAGAAAGAAGATTTCATAAGTAGGACAGAAAAGCAGTAACCAAAAAGAAAAAAATATATATATGTATATATATATGCACACACATATATTTGTGTGTGTATATTTATTTATAAGTTAAGCTCTACTAAAATTAAGATATTTTATTTACTATTAGAAACCACTGGAGGATGGAATGGAAAGTCAGAGTGAAATGTACTTGCAATACAGAAATCCAATAAAGGATTCATGAAGAATATATACAAAGAATGTTAAATAAGAAGAAGAAACACAGCTAATCCAATTAAAATTGGACAACAGATTTGAAAAGGCAACTCACAAAAGAGGATGTCAAAATGGTTAATCAATACATTAAAATGTTCTCAACATCATTAATCATCAGTGAAATGTAAGTAAAAATAACAATGCAAAAACACTACAATCCCCTTAGATAAATAAAAAAATAAAATAAAAACACTATATGAAACAAGGCTGAGAGTAGAGTGAGATAAACGAAGTGTGTCTATGGTATAGAATTTAAGAAGGCACTTACTCTCAAGTTTGCTCAAATGCAGAGTTCTACAAAAACCTCAAACTGGGTGCCTTCTTAAATTTTGTGTCCGAGCACCTAATTTTTAGAGAGACACCCTCTTAAGTTCATGCAAGTTATGCTAGGTTCAAAAGTCAATGAGGGTGTGTACCTTTTAAATTTTTCTACCTTCATTGCCTCACCTGCCTCATTGTACTCCTGGACCTAATGTTAAGTGTTGGTGAGGATAAGAAGCTAGTGGAACTATGAACTGGCACAACCACCTGATAAATATGTTGGCATATTCTACTAAATGTGTACCCACATACCCTAAGTTTTCAGCTGTTCTACTCTTTGCTATTATACTCAAGACAAATAAATACTTACGTTCATCAAAAGTCAAATATAAGAATGCTCACGACTGCCCAATTCCTAATAGCACTCACAAGAAAACAATTCAAATGTTGATCCAAAAAATATGTAAAGACATTTTAGTAAAATAATTCAAAAAATTCTATATAGTAACAAAGTGCAGCTGTACATGACATCATGGTTAATCTCATATAATGTTGAGTGAAAGGAGATGCAAAAGATCATATTAACTGATTTATATTAATTTTAACAAAGGCACTTGTCTGTGGGATTAGAAGTCAGGAGAGTGGTTATTTGAGAAAAAGAGTTGCTAAGATGAGACACAAAGGGAAACTTTTGGAATGCCAATAATATCATATTTATTGATCTGAAAATTGTAAAAATTTATTGAGCTCCACACTCATGATTTGGGCAATTTTTATTTATTGCTTTTCATAAGTCTATCCAGTTTTGCTTCTTATATATTTTCAAGCTCTATTGTTAAGTGTACACATGTTTAGGCCTGCTATGTCTTCTTCATAACCATTTTATCATTATGAAATGACTGTATATATGGTAACATTGTTTCCATGAAATCAACTTTGTCTGCTGTTAATATAGTCACTCCTGGCTGGGCACGGTGGCTCACGCTTGTAATCCCAGCACTTTGGGAGGCTGAGGCGGGTGGATCACAAGATCAGGAGTTCCAGACCAGCCTGGTCGACATGGTGAAACCCCGTCTCTACTAAAAATACAAAAATTAGTTGTGTGTGGTGGCAGGTGCCTGTAATCCCAGCTACTGCAGAGGCTGAGGCAGGAGAATCACTTGAAAGCAGCAGACAGAGTTTGCAGTGAGCCGAGATCACGCTGCTGCACTCCAGCCTGGACAAGAGCAAAACTCTGTCTCAAAAAAAAAAAAAAATTTTTTTGTCACTCTTATTTTCTTTTAGTCAGTGTTAGTAGCATACAAATTATTTCATTGTTTGATTACTTTACTTTTCATCTATTTGCTTATTTATATTTAAAACATGCTTCTTATTGGCAATATCTAGTAAGGTCATGATATCTTATCCAATCTAACTATCTCTACTTTTTAATTAAGTGCTTAGATAATTGACACTTAATGTGATTATTGATATAACTGTAATTAAAACTGGTATCTTGCTACTTGTAAAAAAATTTGTATCCTTTGCCCATTTTTTAAATGAGGTTGTTTCTTTCTTGTTGATTTGTTTAAATACCTTATAGATTCTGGATGTTCGAACTTTGTCAGATGCATAGTTTTTGAAATATTTTCTCCCATCCTGTAGGTTATCTATTTACCCTGTTGATAGTTTCATCTGCTGAGAAGTTATTTAATTTAATTAGGTCCAACTTGTCAATTTTTTGTATTGTTGCAATTGCTTTTGGGGACTCAGCCAAAAATTCTTTGCCAAGACCCATGTTAAAAAGAATATTTCCTAGATTTTTAAAGAATTTTTAGAGTTTGAGGTCTCACATTTAAATCTTTAATCTATTTTCAGTTAATTTTTGTATATAGTGAAAGGTAAGGGTCCAGTTTCATTCTGCATATAGTCAATTATGCAAGCATAAGTCATTGAATAAGGAGTTCTCTCCCCATTGTGTGTTTTTGCTGGCCTTTTTGAAGATCAGATTGTTATAGGTGTGCAGCTTTATTTCTGATTGTTCTTTTCTGTTCCATTGGTCTATGTGCCTGTTTTTGTGCTACACCATGCTGTTTTGGTTACTATAGTTTTATCGTTTGAAGTGGGGTAGTATGATGCCTCCAGCTTTGTTCTTTTTGTTTACAATTGCTTTGGCTATTTTGGCTCTTTTTTGGTTGCATGTAATTTTTAGATATTTTTCCAATTCTGTGAAAAATGACATTGGTAGTGTGATAGGAACAGTGTTAAATCTATAAATTGCTTTGGGCAGTATGGCCATTTTAACTATATTGATTCTTCCTATCCACAAGCAAGGTATATTTTTTCCTTTTATTTGTGTAGTCTCTGATTTCTTTTAGCAGTGTTTTGTAGTTCTTGTAGAGATCTTTCATCTTCTTGGTAAGCTGTATTTGGATTTTTTTTTTTTTTTTTGACAGCATCTCATGTCAGGCTGGAGTGCAGTGGTGTGATATTGGCTCACGGCAACCTCTGCCTCCTGGTCTGAAGCAATCCTCCCACCTCAGCCTCCCAAGTAGCCGGGACTACAGGTACATGCCACTATGCCCAGCTCAATTTTGTACCTTTTGTAGAGACAGGGTTTCACCATGTTGGCCAGGCTGTTCTCAAACTCCTGAGCTCAAGCAATCCACCCACCTCGGCCTCCCAAAGAACTGGGATTACAGGTGTGAGCCACTGTGGCTGGACAAGGGTTGTGTTCTTGATTTGACTTTCAGCCTAGACATTATTGGTGTTTAGAAATGCTACTGATTTTTGTACACTGATTTTGTATCTGGAAACTTTACCGAAGTCGTTTATTAGTTCTAGGAGCCTTTTGGAAGAGTCTTTAGGGTTTTCTGGGTATAGAATTATATAATCAGCAAAAAGAAATAGTTTGATTTCTGCTCTTCCTATTTGGATGCCTTTTATTTCTTTTTCTTGCTGGATCACTCTGGCTAAAAAAAGAAGATGGACAAGCAGCCAACAAACATTTGAAAAAATGCTCCTCATCACTAATTATCAGGAAAATGCCAATCAATCAAAAACCACAATGAGTTACCATCTCACACCAGTCTGGCTATTAATAAAATTCAGAATGGCTTCTATTAAAAAGTCAAAATAATAATAATCAGAATAGCTATTATTAAAAAGTCAAAAAACAACAGAATCTGGTGAGGCTGCAGAGAAAAGGGAACACTTATAAACTGTTGGTAAGGATGGAAATTAGTTCAACCACTATAGAAAGCAGTTGGGAGATTTCTCAAAGAGCTTAAAATAGAGGTACCATTCGACTTGGCAATCCCATTACTGTGTATATATCCACAGGAAAATAAATTATCCTATTCTACCAAAAGGACACTCACACTTGTATGTTCATCACTGTGCTATTCACAATAGCAATGACACGGAATCAACCTAGGTGTCCATCAGTGATTGACTGAAGGAGGAAAATATGATACATATACACCATGGAACACTGTGCAGCTATAGAAAGATTGAAATCATGTCCTTTGCAGCAGCATAGATGCAACTGGATGCCATAATCCTAAGTGAATTAATACAGGAACAAAAGACCAAATACCACCTGTTCTCACTTTTAAGTGGGAGCTAAACATTGAGCACACCTGGACATAAACATGGGAACATAGACGCTGTGGACTACTAGAAGGGGGGAAAGAAGAGGAGAGCATGGTTAGAAAAACTACCTATTGGGTCCTCTGCTCACTCCCTGGGTGACAAGATCCATTCCACAACCTCATCATCATGCAATACACCCATGTAACAATCATGCCCATGAACCCTCTATATCTAACATAAACACTGAAATTTAAAAAAATGTTCCATCTGTTATTCTGCTTCTCTCTTTCTGAATTTTAATTGAATATTAGTTTATGGTTATATCTTTTTTGACTTATTAGTCATGATAACTTGTGTTATTACATTAGTGGTTGCTTTAGAGTTCACGTATCTTTACTTATATATCTTTAACTTGTAAGAGTGTAAGTTCAAGTGGTACTACATAACTTCTCATACAGTATAAGAATCCTACAAAAACATACTTCCATTTCTCCCCTCCAGAACTTTGTTCTATGGCTGTCGTACATTTCACTATTGCATATTTTAGAAACCCTGCAATTTCATTATCATTTTGGATTTAAGATTTGTGCAAATTTATATGTATATTTACTCCAGTACAAATTTACTAAAAATAAAAATTTTAATATATATCTAAAGTCAAAATAAATGTTATTAAATATTCATTGTAATGAAATTTTTTTAAAACTCCTAAGCACAATTAGCACATACTTAAAATTGAATCATAGAATCACAATGAAAACCCTGAAGGTTAAAATGAGTGGGTTGCTAACAAAATAGTACTTGAAGGAAATCAGTGGCCCTAGCTACCCTTATCAGAAAACAAATCAGTTCTGAAACAAAGGAGCCAAGAATTCAACTCAAGATGGAAGAAATAGAAATGAGTAAATTTAAAAAAAGAACCAGACACAAATGATGAACATGTAATCAAAAATGAACAGAATAGAGAAAGAAATCAAAAAATGTAAAAATAAAACTACAGCTTGGTTTACAAAGACAAGATAGACAAACTTCTGACAAGTATGATTAAGAGAAAAGAAAGATTAGAGTAGCTATAATGATAAAATCAACAAAAGTTTTTAAAGTCTTGGAAAGGTACTATGAAATATACATGATTGAATGCATATGACATGAATTAATTTCTGAAAATAAATTAACAACCGGATTATGAAGAAGAAAAATGAAAATCAACTAGACTCGATTTTTAGTATACTTAAATAGGATTCCAAGGCTTTCCCTCCATAGAAGAAAGGTTTTAGGAGATACGACTTTATATCAAACATGTAAAAATGAAAAATTCAATAATATATATGTTATTGTGGCCATGGAGAAACTCCTGCTGGTGGGAGTGAGACATGAAGCCAGGGTTTTACAAAATAGTCTAGCATTTTGGAATGAAATTAAGTATACATGTGCATGCTGTATCAAATCTGGGTAAATAGAGCTATACAGTTTATACGAAACAAGTTACAAAATTATCCCAAGCAACATTGTTGGTAGTAGCAAGAAATTATAGACTATTAATGGGTCCATTAACTAGGAAAATATATAAGGAAAAAGTTATAAATTCTGTATTAGGGTTCTCTAGAGAAACAGAACCGGTAGGATTTAGATATAGATAGGTAGATAGATGATTGATTAGATAGATAGATAGATAGATAGATAGATAGATAGATAGATAGATTAGATAGATGATAGAGATGATGGATGATATAGATAGATATAGATATAGGTAGATGATAGATAGATGGATAGATAGATAGATGATAGATGAAAAGAGAGTGAGAGAGGCAGATAAAATGAAAGAGATAAATTCTAAGACATTGGCTCATACAGTTGTGGGAGCTGGCAAGTCCAAATCCCACAGGACAAGGCAGAAGCTGGAGATTCAAGTAAGTGTTGATCTTGCATACTTGAGTGTAAAAACTAGATTCAAGCAAAATTTCTATTGTAGACTTGAGGCAGAATTCCTTCTTTGGGAAACATCTGTCTTTGCTCTTCAACAGATCAGATGCGGTCCATCCATGTCATGGAGAGTGATCTGTTTTACTTAAAACCAACCGATGTGAATGTTAGTCACACATTAAAAAATAGTTTTGCAGCAACATCAAGGCTAGTATTTGACCAAACAATTGGTCACCATTGTTTAACCAAGTTGACACATAAAATTAATCATCACATATGCCAAAGATTACTATTTAGCAATGAGAAGTAAAGAGCTACATTTTCATAGAGCAATGTAGCAGCATTTCAAAATGTTAGTGAAATAAGAAATTGAATGGAATAACAATTAATATTTACATAAGTTAAACATGCAGCATATAACACTGAACACATCTATGCACATAAGTGTGTATACAGAATGAATTAAAACGGTATAGATTGTTGAAAATAAAGTGCATGTCTAGAAGGAACAATACAAAGGCAATTGGGCACAAAAAGAAAAAACATGACATGAAACATTAGAGGTGTTATACATGGTCTGATGATAAGGGCAATCAATCTAGTAATTAGGAACTAAGCAGTATGATTGTCTCCATTCTGTGCGTGTGGGATCTGAAATCAAGTCTAAAATCTGAATTCAACACACTGAAAAATAATCTATTTTTATATATTTTATTCAATATTTTAATACCTTGAAATTAAAGGACATTCAGTGAATGTGGTAAATATATCTACTAAAATCCTACAGAAAATTTTACTCTTTAATGCTGAGTTCAGCCATTTCCTCTATCATCACATTGTAGTGAGGGGCCTAGCCACTAATGCAGAAGAAAAAATTTCAATAAAATATGTAACATTTGGGAAAAAGTTAAAATCTTCTCGTTTTTCTCAGATAGAGGTATGTCAACAAAGTAAAATCTCAGGGAATCCATAAAAAATATTTAGATATACTGTGAGAATTTGGGAAAAAATGTTAGATTAATATATAATGGAAAATATCAATATATAAAAATTAATCACATTACTATATAGCAGCAGCAAACAATCAGAAAAACAATTTAATCAATTACATATAAAACAGAAGAAAGAAATCAGGTAATCATCCTGTAATATATTTAACAAAAATTTGAATGATCTTTCAGAGTAAAAATATCAAATTTAATTAAAGAAGCTTTTCCAATTTCAAAACAAATGTAGATTTATCCCTTAATAAATGAGAAGAATCAATATAATGAATCATCAATTCTTGTCGTATTAATCTATAAGTTAAATGTTAATTCAATTAAAATGTTGAAAGATTTTGTTTTCTTGGATTTTAAGAGCTTAACTCTAAAATTCGTATGGAATAATAAAAAACCTAGTACAGTCAATATAACTCTGAACAAAAACATGTTTGAGGCCAGGCACGGTGGCTCACACCTATAATTCCTGCACTTTTAGAGGCCAAGGCAGAAGGATCACTAGTGGCCAGGAGTTCGAGACCAGCCTAAGCCTCATGGCAAGACCCTTGTAACTTAAAAATAAAAATAAAAAATTAGCCGATTGTGTGTCATACAACTGTAGTCCCAGCTACTTGGGAAGCTGAGACAGGAGAATTGTTGGAGCTAAAGAATTGGAGGCTGCAGTAAGCTATGATTGTGCCACTGCACTCCAGCCTGGGTGATAGAGCAAGATCTTGTTTCTTAAAAAAAAAAAAAAAAAAGAAAAGAAAATGAAAGATGGTAGAATGGGACTCTCCTTTGCATTGTATTAATGGAATATTCAACAGTGTCCCTGGCCACTGCCCCTACAGGTGTGATGATCGAAATGTCTCCAGACATTGCCAAATGCCCTCTGGAGGGTAAAATGTCCTCCATTGAGAACCACAGAGTTAAATTAATTAAAACCATTTGATTTTAGCATAGGTATAGACAAGAAAAATAATTATAAAGAAAAAGAAACATGAATCAGACCTACATTCATAGAAATTTGGTGTATATGCAATGGTAGTAAATTTAACAGGAAAAAGTTTAGTATAAGGTTCTGCAACAATTAGCTGTTTATAGAAAACAATTAATGAAATAGATTTCTGTGCTATACACATAAATCTATTGATTAAAAAACTAAATGTAAAGACTCAGTTGAAAAGCTAAAGCAATATATAATTTTTTATCAGCACTTTCTATAAATCGATCTTAGAAAAATTTCACAAATGTATTCAAAGGGATAGTTCAGAAGATATTCATTTTGGCACAGATTGTAATAGCAAAAGCATGAAAACAATTTTACTATCCATTATTAAGACAAATAAACTTTATGTTTAATTCAGTGGGACACTATGTGTCTGTTAAAATGAATTAGCTAGATTTAAAAATATCAATATGAATAAGCCTCAAAAATATAATACCACAAGAAGGAAGCAAATATTGCAAAGTATACTTACAGTAAGGTACCATATATTTGAAATGTTAAAACACTCAGAAACAATAATATATACTGTTTATAGTTGCCTACAAATGTAGTAAGTACACAGAATCCTGAGAGAAAATATTCCCTTTCTGGAAATGGAGGGACAAAAAAGGATGATGTGAGATTTCAGTTACAGATGTACTTAAGTCGTTAATAACAAAAAAGACTTCTGAAGCTAATGTAGCAATAGTTTAGTATTTATTAATCTTTGTTCATCAAACATAATAATCTTATTGCTCTCTGTTTTTATATGTGGAAGTGTGTTCATAAAAAAGGTATTCTTGTCCAATTGATTAAAGGTATTTTAATATTTAGTAAAAAAAATTAAATCTACTTATACAAACACAATAAAATGAGTAGTTCAACATCCAGTTCTGTACCTAAGAACCCAAATGCATGCCTTTCATTTCCATGCTTCTTCTAAAAAATGTCCCTGCCTGGAAATGGGTGTTCTCTGGTTTGACCAGAAGTGGTTTCACATTTCTAATATGGACTGACTTGCAATATGCACTTTCCATTTTCTGTTTCTTACTTAGAAGAGTGTTTGCTTATGAGATCATCATTACAACACACACAAACACCCAAAGTCTTCTTTTTTTCTTTGATTTGTTATTTGTCAGGAGAGATGAATTAAAATTTAAGCTCCCTATTTCAGATAACTGGTAAATCTACTCTGTTTTTCTTTCCTGTTTATTAATGAGCTTCTGTCACTTTTTCTCTCCTTTCTTACTCTTTCCTTCTTTTTCTCTCCTCAACACATTCATCTCTGTGCTCATTTGCTTCAATACCCTTTCACAAGACTTATCTTTTTCTTCTAAAGCCAAAATAATGATGCACATTATTCTTATCTGAGTTTCTCTCCACTTCTCTATTTCCAGGTCAGATTTAGCTTAACAAGTGGATCATTGATTGGATGTTTACACAGCCACATTGGATCTTTATTGCTCTGTTCATTTGTCTTGTTCAGGGGAAATGGGATTAGCTCTTCTTTAATTGTGTCATCTCTAAAGATGCCCACCAACTCTTTTAAGGTTTCGGGTAAATGTGCAGCGCATAATATTTCAAAATATTTTTTAAATAATTCAACTGAAGGCCTTTTGCTTCTTTAACCTTTCTTTGTTGACTTGAAAACAAATGAAAATGTAACAAAAATGCAGGGTACTACTTATCTTGCTTTCCGCACAGTCTGACTCAACATTTTCTTAGTTGTTAAAAAGATGTAGACACAGGATTGGAGTTGATAGTTGATGGCTCTTAGTTTTTATTCTATTAGGGAGCTACTTCTAGATCTTATACCCATTCAAGCTCTTATCACTCTATTTTATAGCTTTTCTTTCCTTGTACAACTTATGCTCATATCTATAAACTACAGGTAATTCCATATTATTTAGAAATATAAATTATCTGGTTGAAATGAGCCAAATCCACCACTCTTGTTTTATTTTCATAGGGTAAGGATCAGATTCAAGTAGAGCTTGACACAAGAGAAAGTCATTATCAAAAAGTCAAAACATTAGTGTTGTCAAAGATGTAAAGAAAACAGGACCCTTATATATTCGGTAAGGATGTAAATTAGTACAGTATAGAGATTCAACAAAAAATTAAAAATAGAACTACAAAATCATCCAGAAATCCTAATACTGGCTATATATCCCCCCCAAAAAGAAAGAAAATGACCATCCCCAAGAGATATCTGCACCCCCATGTACACTGCAGCATTATTCAAAATAGCCAAGATATGAAAACAATCTAAGCATCCATCAATGGACACTTAGCCATTACTCAGCCATAAAAAAGGAATCTACCATGTCTGAAAACATGGATGAACCTGAATGACATTATGCTAAGTGAAATAAGCCAGACAGAAAAACAAACGCTGCATAATCTCACTTATATGTAGAACCTAAAATAGTCAAACTCATAGGAACATGGGATAGAATGGTTATTGCCAGGTGCTGGAGGTTGGGGCAGATGGGGAGTGGTTGGTTAAGGGTCTCCAAACTTTCAGTTATAAGACGACTAAGTTCTAGAGACTTAATGTAAAGCATGATGACTAGAGTTAATAATACTCTATTGTATACTTGAAATTTGCTAAAAAAGTAGATTTCAAGTGTCCTTATCCCCACACTCCCACAGACAAATGGTAACTATGTGACATAATAGACATGTTAATTAGCTTGATGTGGTTATCATTTCACAATACGTATGTGTTATCAAATCATCATGCTGTACATTTAAATGTTTACAATTTTTGTCACTAATACTAAATAAAGCTCAAAAAAGGGAGTCATTGCTGCAACCTCTGTTAGGAGTACTTATAAATCTACCCAGGCTTTAGAAAAGAAAAAAAAAGCCAATGAGGGTCCACTCTGCAGCTCTACTGTAGGATTTCTGAAAAATTGGTCAGTATAATGACAACCCTATCACTGTGGAGACTAAGTGCTATGCCAAACTTCTACCGACTTCAGTGGGGAGGGCACCAGATTCAAGGGTCTGAAGAAGAGACCCAGAGCCAGCAAACGAGACCTGGGGCTTCATTGAGGTTACACACAGGGGAGAGGGTCCAGTGGTGGTGGGATGAACAGGAGAACTGCCACCACTTGGAAAGGCATGCAATCTATACAGTATTTTTACTTAGAACCCTTTCCCTGACCACCTCCATTTGGCAACATTCATTCAACCCAAAACTCAGGACCTCGATCCTCTGTATCTCCCATGTTCTGTGGGTCAGGCCGGGGGCTCAGATGTTTCTCATAGACAGGAATGAATCTCTAGTTTAGCCACTCCTGGATTCCCTAGCTCTAGAGCACACATTCAGGTGCATCTGCCATACAGGGCCATTCTTAGGGTATGCCTAAGATATTGCCTCTCAGGTGCATTTACCATCACCTAGGATAATCTTGATTCAGCATTCCTGAAGAGGGCAGTGAAGGCAGTAGAACAGCCAGGGCTACTAAATAGAAGGGCCTGAAACTGACTTTATAGAGTAATGTCCGAAAAGCCTGGATGTGAGGATAAATAATCATTTCTCCCCACAAAACACTAAACAAATCTCTTGTGATGTATTGGCGAGTTCTTATTTGCAGTCATATGATGTTACTATTTTCTATTACAAATTGCAAATTCAATTCTCAAATTCAATTATCCTGGAGACAGCCAACCAATAAGTTTAGCAGTGTTTGAAAAGAAAGACAAGTTGCACCCAGGTTTATAAATACACATGTAGACACAAAAGTGTTAAATGTAAGCCTCAGCAAAATTGAAAATGGGCAATTTCTAGATCCAGATTGGGCCAGAAGTGGGAGAGAGGATTTTTGGTGGAGAGACATAAGAGACTCCTGGATCTGTGTGTTTTCTGGAATAGCATTTCCAAATGATTCTCCAGGAAGGACACATTTTTTATTATCATTCACAAGGCATTAACATGTCTAAGATTCCAAAAATTCTTAAAGAAACATCTTTTTTTTAATCATATGTCTTTAAAAGAAAAAAATCTCTTTTTACTTTGTTTACTATCATGCCACATATTCGTTTCACCACAAAACACTTTTTTTAAGAATTCTTATTAATAACACTTCTTGGAAATTTTGCTTCATAAAGCTCTCCTAGGGAGACAATGATGCAGAGTAAATAAATTTCAGGTTATGCAGGACATACCATTGAATATAAGATTTACACCAGAAGATATTTTCTTTCCATGAAAAGCCACAAACATTTATAAAACATATTTCGAGGCAGGTCTATTTAGGACCTTGCTATTCAAAATATGGTTCTTGGAAAAGGAAGGTTAGCATCACTGTGGATCTTGTTAGAAATGTGGAAACTCTGGTCCCACCTCAGAGCTATTGAATGAGAATCTTGCATTATCTGCAACATCCCCAGCTGATTCCTGTGCACAAAAAGTTTGAGAAAGTCTATTGTAGAAGACTCAAACTTCTAAAGTTATGAATATCACACATTTCTGCATGTAAATTAGAAAACACAAACTAGAAACATGTAATTAAGGTTAATTGCACTTATCTTTTAAAACGTGACGATTAAAACGTGAGCATTAACCAATTGCAAAGCATAAACAATGATATTAAAATATCATGTAAGCCTTGAATAGGTGACCAGTTTGAATTCATATATATCAGCATCAGATCTGGATCTAAATAACTGGATAAGAATATATTAGGAAATAAGGAGAATGACAAAAGCCATGGACAACCTGGCATAAAACCACAACTCTCGCTTGATTAACACAAAACAATTTGCTAGTGAGTAGAGAAAGACATTTAATGGCATGAATGTGCCACGGCTACATTGACACGTAGTATACAGAATCCTCAGTTTACTTACACTCTTCTAATAGTGCCAAATGTCAAGTTTAGAAATATTCTAATGGTTTGAAAATATTTATTTAACATTTATTTATCACTGGTTAATTATATCATTTCAAAAATGCTTTCTTTGGATTAGTGCTGTCCTCAGATCAGTTAGACATAAACTTTCCAATCAAAGGGAACATCATCTAGTATACTGGATGAATTATAAACAATCTACCACGTTGAAAGCACACATATTACAAAGTTATAGCAAGAAGTTTCAGGAAACATACATGACAAATATTGGGTGTCAGAATATGATTAAGGATCTGGAAAAAGCTCAGTCTCATTATTTATCGGTGTATCCTCACATCACATCACTCGGAGTTAGTGTAGTCTGTAGGTTAGAGGGTGGAGTAGGAGACTCCCTCTCTTCCAAAGTCTCTGTGTTAGTCCTTTTTGAGTTACTGCCTTTCTCATTGAACCACTGTTCAATGATTTTTCTGAACAATGGTCCTCTGAAGGCAGTAGCTTCCTAGTGGACGAGTGTCTGATTTTTCCCAGCACTACCTAGTACAGAGCTGGGCTCAGAGTTCATACTTATAAAGCCAGAGATAAGAGATCTTGAAGAAAGAATTATGAGCGATTCAAGGGTAATACATTGGCATAATTTAAGAATAGAAAGCCAGCTCTGCAAGCAATCAGACTAATGGAAGATCTGAGCCAGGAAACTCTCTCTCTCTCTCTCTCTCTCTGTGTGTGTGTGTGTGTGTGTGTGTTTGTGTGTGACTTCAAACAATTTGGAAGACTCGGTGTTATTATACTAATTTTACTTGAGTAAAGTTATACCTAGAGAGGTTAAGTTCACAGCTAGTCAGTGCTGGAATTAGGGACCAAACCTGGTTCTGCCTGACTGTAAAACTAGGACTCTTCAATCACTCTTTTGCAGGGTTTCTTAACCTCAGTACTATTGGCAATTAGTGCAGGATAATTCTTTGTTGTGGAGGGTCCTGCTATGTATTGTAGGATAATTCTTTGTTGTGGAGGGTTATGCTATGTATTGTAAAATGTTTAGAAGCATCCCTGATTGCTACCCACTAGATGTCAGAAGCACATTACCCACCACTACCCCCACTGTGATAACAAAAAATGTGTCCAGACATGGCCAAATGTCTCCTGGGAGAAAATCATCCCTGATTGGAAGCTACTGATCTATTAATAGTAGGTCCGTAGGATCCTTAAAGTGAGCATGTTACAGTAAATCACCTCCTGAACATGAACCACTGACACAACCTTATTAATGTAGACAGCTTAGTGGGCTTGCCTATGGTCACTTCTGCTTCTAAAAGAAATAGAAATCTTTTTTTTTTTTTTAAATACTTTAAGTTCTGGGATACATGTGCAGAATGTGCAGGTTTGTTACATAGGTATACACGTGCAATGGTGTTTTGCTGCACCCATCAACCCATCATCTAGGTATTTCTCCTAATGCTATCCCTCCCCTACCCCCCAACCCCTGACAGGCCCCGGTGTGTAACATTGCCCTCCCTGTGTCCATGTGTTCTCATTGTTCAACTCCCACTTATGAGTGACAACATGCAGTGTTTGGTTTTCTGTTCCCGTGACAGTTTGTTGAGAATAATGGCTTACAGCTTCATCCATGTCCCTGCAAAGGACATGAACTCATCCTTTTTTACAGCTGCATAGTATTCCGTGGTGTATATGTGCCACATTTTCTTTATCCAGTCTATCACTGTTGGGCATTTGGGTTGTTTCCAAGTCTTTGCTATTGTGAACAGTGCTGCAATAAACATACATGTGCATGTATTTTTATAGAAGAATGACTTATAATCCTTTGGGTACATACCCAGTAATGGGATTGCTGGGTCAAATAATATTTCTGGTTCTAGATCCTTGAGGAATCGCCACACTCTCTTCCACAATGGTTGAACTAGTTTACAGTCCCACCAACAGTCTAAAAGCGTTTCTATTTCTCCACATCCTCTCCAGCATCTGCTGTTTCCTGACTTTTTAATGATTGCCATTCTAACTGGTGTGAGATGGTATCTCATTGTGGTTTTGGTTTGCATTTCTCCAAAGGCCAGTGATGATGAACTTTTTTTTTCATGTGTTTGTTGGCCGCATAAATGTCTTCTTTTGAGAAGTTATCTGTTCATATCCTTTGCCCACTTTTTGATGGGTTTGTTTTTTTCTTGTAAATTTGTTTAAGTTCTTTATAGATTCTGGATATTAGCCCTTTGTCAGATGGATAGATTGAAAAAATTTTCTCCCATTCTGTAGATTGCCTGTTCACTCTGATGATGGTTTCTTTCCATCAATGATAGACTGGATAAAGAAAATGTGGCACATATACACCGTGGAATACTATGCAGCCATAAAAAAGGATGAGTTCATGTCCTTTGCAGGGACATGGATGAAGCTGGAAAAACATCGTTCTCAGCAAACTAACATAAGAACAGAAAACCAAACACTGCATGTTGTCACTCATAAGTGGGAGTTGAACAATGAGAACCCATGGACACAGGGAGGGAACATCACACACCGGGGCCTGTCAGGGGTTGAGGGCCTAGGGGAGGGATAGCATTAGGAGAAATACCTAATGTAGATGACGGGTTGATGGTTGCAGCAAACTACCATGGCATGTGTATACCTATGTAACAAACCTGTACGTTCTGCACATGTACCCTAGAACTTAAAGCATCATCATCATCATAATAATAATAAAGGAAATAATAGACAGTTTATCTTAGGTAAATTGTTTTTGAGGTCACTGGCAATAAGTGAAGGCCTTTAATTTTGCCCATCTGGGCCATGTTTCACAAATATTACTGAAAACGCCTTTTCAAAATAGCAATAAAGGCTAAGGTATCAGGGACTCTGTAGTATTTTTTAATATAAAACAAAACAAAACAAAAATGTGAAAATAGCTGTAACAGAGCTTAAGGTCCAGTCTGAATTTAGGTGTGGGATTGAACCATTTCTTTTTTTTTTTTTTTAACAGAAATCCTCATTCTTTGGCCCATATCTTTTTTTTTTATTATTATACTTTAAGTTTTGGGGTACATGGGCACAATATGCAGGTTAGTTACATATGTATACATGAGCCATTTTGGTGTGCTGCACCCAGTAACTCGTCATTTAACATGAGGTATATCTCCTAATGCTATCCCTCCCTGCTCCCACCACCCCACCACAGGCCCTAGTGTGTGATGTTCCCCTTCCTGTGTCCAAGTCTTCTCATTGTTCACTTCCCACCTATGAGTGAGAACATGTGGTGTTTGGTTTTTTGTCCTTGTGACAGTTTGCTGAGAATGATGGTTTCCAGCTTCATCCATGTCCCTACCAAGGTCATGAACTCATCTTTTTTTATGGCTGCATAGTATTGCATGGTGTATATGTGCCATATTTTCTTAATCCAGTCTATCATTGCTGGACATTTGGCTTGGTTCCAAGTCTTTGCTATTGTGAATAATGCCGCAATAAACATACCTGTGCATGTGTCTTTATAGCAGCATGATTTATAGTCCTTTGGGTATATACCCAGTAATGGGATTGCTGGGCCAAATGGTATTTCTAGTTCTAGATCCCCGAGAAATCACCACACTGACTTCCACAATGGTTGAACTAGTTTACAGTCCCACCAACAGTGTAAAAGTGTTCCTATTTCTCCACATCCTCTCCAGTACCTGTTGTTTCCTGACTTTTTGATGATGGCCATTTTAACTGGTGTGAGATGGTATGTCGTTGTGGTTTTGATTTGCATTTCTCTGATGGCCAGTGATGATGAACATTTTTTCATGTGTCTTTTGGCTGCATAAATGTCTTCTTTTGAGAAGCGTCTGTTCATATCCTTCACCCACTTGTTGATGGGGTTGTTTGTTTTTTTCTTGTAAATTTGTTTGAGTTCATTGTAGATTCTGGATATTAGCCCTTTGTCAGATGAGTAGGTTGCAAAAATTTCCTCCCATTCTGTAGGTTGCCTGTTCACTCTGACGGTAATTTCTTTTGCTGTGCAGAAGCTCTTTAGTTTAATTAGATCCCATTTGTCAATTTTGGCTTTTGTTGCCATTGCTTTTGGTGTTTTAGACATGAAGTCCTTGCCCATGCCTATGTCCTGAATGGTATTGCCTAGGTTTTCTTCTAGGGTTTTTATGGTTTTAGGTCTAACATTTAAGTCCTTAATCCATCTTGATTAATTTTTGTATAAGGTGTAAGGAAGGGATCCAGTTTCAGCTTTCTACATATGGCTAGCCAGTTTTCCCAGCACCATTTATTAAATAGGGAATCGTTTCCCCATTTCTTCTTTTTGTCAGGTTTGTCAAAGATCAGATAGTTGTAGATGTGTGGTATTATTTCTGAGGGTTCTATTCTGTTCCATTGTTCTATATCTCTGTTTTGGTACCAGGACCATGCTGCTTTGGTTACTGTAGCCTTGTAGTATAGTTTGAAGTTACGTAGCATGATGCCTCCAGCTTTGTTCTTTTGGCTTAGGATTGACTTGACAATGTGGGCTCTTTTTTTGTTCCATATGAACTTTAAAGTAGTTTTTTCCAATTCTGTGAAGAAAGTCATTGGTAGCTTGATGGGGATGGCATTGAATGTATAAATTACCTTGGGCAGTATGGCCATTTTCACGATATTGATTCTTCCTACCCATGAGCATAGAATGTTCTTCCATTTGTTTGTATCCTCTTTGATTTCATTGAGCAGTGGTTTGTTGTTCTCCTTGAAGAGGTCCGGGATTGAATCATTTCAAACAAAATATCAGGTTCTCTTTTATGTTGCAGAGTGGGGCTAGTAATATTGCCCAACTTCAAAGGTGAGGAGAGTCTCTTCCTGAACATGCAGAAAGAGGGTCACCCAAAATCATTTGGAGTAGTGACAATGACATTGGATTTGGAGTCAGAAAGAAGGCCTAGATTACCTCCTCAAATGATTACCATCTCTTTGACCTTCTAGGGGCCAATAGTCTCTGAGTTTCATATTTGAGCCTCAGATTTGTGTAATTGCAATAATAGTCTCTATCTCATAGAGCTAAGGTAATGATTAGATGGAATGTTCAGTGGAAAAAAACGACTTCTAAGCACAAATATGGCTTCAAACATTAAGCTTTGATTGCTCCAAAACTTACAATTAATTGCTTACATCGCATTTTGCAATGGATAGAAATGGCCAGGGGGATTATCGCATAGGGAAATAACACAATGCTCTTTCAAAGTTTTCTATCAAATTAAGACTCTTGGAAGCAAAATGATCTTAGGCCCCGTGACTACACCATGTAACTAAATTTGGTCTGATTTTCATCTTACCCTGGCATAAAAATGAGGGAAAGCAGACTCAATCAACTCTTCAGCCACCTCCCTTATCCCACACCATGATAATGGATTCAATATCTCTGTGCCTTAGTCTCTTCAGGCTGCTATAACAAAATGGCTTAGACTAGGTAATTTATACACAAAAGTGTTTATTGCTCACAGTTCTAGAGGCTGGAAAGTCCACAATCAGGATACCAGGAGATTCGGTGTCTGGTAAGGGCTTGTTACTCACAGATGGAGACCCCTTGTAGCTTTCTCACATCGTGGAAGAGGCAAGCAAGCTCCCACAGGCCTTCTTTATAAAGGCGCTAATTCTATTCATGAGGCAGATCCCTTATAACCTTGTCGCCACACAAAGGCCCCACCTTTTAATACCATCACTTTAGGGTTAGATTTCAACAAATAAATTTTGAGGAGAAACATTTAAATCATAGTACTCTGCCCATGGCCTCCCAAAATTTATGTCCTTCTCATATGCAAACTATATTAATTCCATCCCAATAGCATCAAAAGTATTCACTTGTTCTAGCATCAACTCAAAATTTAAAGTTCAAAGTCTCATCTAAATCAGGTGTGGGTGAGACTCAAGGTACAACTCATTCTGAGAGCAAATTCTGCTCCAGCTGTGGGCCAGTGAAATCAAACAAGTTATGTGCTTTCCACAACACATTGCACAATCATTCAGACCTCAGGACTGGCCCAACTTAACTCAAAAAACAGACACGTTTTCCTTCCAACTTGAGTTGTTGCAAGATACTACCTGCTCTCCTTTAGAAACTAGTAATCACGGGATACAAGAAAACGAAGCACAGGAAGTGGAACACCTTAAGTCTCTGCCATGTCCCAGACCAGAGTCAGTGAGGATACATGCATATGTATGTGAATATTCACCTTTATGTATGCACATACGCATAGGCAAGTGTATTCATCAGTCTGCATGTGGGTGTTTCTGCACAAGCATATGCATTTGTGTGACTATTTGCGTGGGAATGTGTATGTGGGCATATGTGCATTTTAGTTTGTGTATTCATGTGTTGGTATATGTGGGTGTGGATATAAGGGTAGATGTACATATATATCTGCAGATATTTGTTGGTTGAATTTGCATAGATTTCTGAATATGTCATCAGGGTGGAAGTGGGAAGAAGGAGAAAATGGAAATAGAATGAAATTCTCTCATTGAACCTACAGTGGGAATTTAAGGAAACAGCATGCTATTAACCAAATCAGGAGCTGGTCTACAGTCACCTCACTGAGGAATGTGGGAAGAACACAGTTGAAATTATCTTTAAACATCAGCAAAAATAGAGTTACTTGGACTCTGGATTTCATGTTGAATTTTCTCTAGCTACATGGGGCTTCCTTATAACTATAAGGAAGTTGGGTGGTAGGTCGTAGCTGCTTTACAGGGAAGAGTTGTATCCAGAATAAGCAAAATAAGACTAAAAGGTAAAGGCATGGGGAGCCCAAAAGTCTACCCAATAACTCTAGTAGCTTATTCTGTCTTTCAATTGCGGAGGAAGTGGAGCCCAGGCCAAGGCAGCATTGGAAATATTGTGTTAATCCCTTCCTTCCAGCCCTCAGAACAACCCCTGAATGAGATCCCAATATACTGGGAGGCAGGAAAAAGAAAGAAACCCCAATTTCAATACAGGAATATTAATAATAGTAGCAAATACTTATATGGTACTTAGTATGAGCAAGCACCATTTAAAGAGTTTTAGAAGTCATTATTGCTTATTGTTGTCATTTATGAATTGCCAATTGTATATCAGGCACTTTACTATGTGCATTAAAGATATGATTCCATTTACATTTATTTTCATAACCATTGGTTGAAGTCTATATTAATAAGTCAGTTTTACTAAGGCAGAAACTCAGGCTCAACGACGTTGAGCTATGTGCTCAAAGTCATAGTGGTGGAGCAATGATTTGAACGCAGGCCTATTACAAATTGTCTTTATTTTCAGAGTTAGTTTTCTAAACTACAATCATGGTACCTAGGTTTGATTTGATAATGCAGAAGCAATATGTGATAGCCAATTTTTCTCTTTATCCTAGCAAGGGAAAACATTACAAAGCAATTTACAAAATTCAGTATGTTCCTACCACATTCAGTTTCCATATGCATATTGGATGGAAGTTAGCTGAAACTTTCCCCTAGATATCTGAACTGCAGAATAGTGTACAATTGGCCCTCCATATCTATGGGTCCTCCATCTACAGATTCAACGAACTGAGGTTTTAAAATGTTTGGAAAAAACATAATAAAACATAACAATATACAAATAAGATCAATACATTTAACCACTATTTGCATGTCACTTCCACTGCATTAGGTATTACAAGTAATCTAGAGATAATTTAAAGTATACAGGAGAATGTGTGTAGATGATATGCAAATAGTACACCATTTTATATAAGAGATTTGTGCATTCGTGAATTTTGGCATCTGCAGTGGTTCTGGAACAAATCCTGCAAGGATATTGAGGGACAACTCGAATTCAGGACAGTTCAAACCAAATTAGAAGATCAAGTACCCAAGATGAGCATGGCTCACTTTACCTATTAGCTCTTCCTGTTTGCATGAACTGGGAAAACTGTACTGTCATACTTGGATGTAGATGAAACCTAGAAATGCTAGGAATCTTCAAACCTGAGAGAAGTATATTTCTTATGCCCTTTTTTGAGTATGTTTCTATTAAGAGCTGTATTTTGTGACATGTGGTGAGACATTAATTGCCATCTACTACGTGTTTCCTTAGCACCCTGCTCTAAACAGCATTCTACAGTAAGGGATGGCTTGTTAATAAAGGTTACCAGTTGATATTAATGCTAAATATTGCCTCATTTATACTATTCCTACTAACCCAAGTATGTGGATATGGGGAGAGGGGATGTGCTTTTTAATTAAATAGTCAAGAACAGAAAACACTGAGCTCTATGAGAAAGGTAAAAGAAAAAATAGGAATAGCTGCTATTCTAGCATCTAATATGTTACTAAGTCAGTAAAATACATGATTTCTCCTCTTATTTGCGTAACTTAAATAACTGAGGTAATTTGGTATCTGGAAACATTGCAGCTCCCTCTCTTTTCATTCTTTGGCCAGCTGAATTAACTAATTGATATGGTTAGGCTTTGTGTCCCCACCAAAATCTCATCTTGAATTGTAATCCCCATAATCCCCATAATCCCCCTGTGTCAAGGGAGAGACCAAGTGGAGGTAATTGAATCATGGAGGCAGTTTCGCCTATGATGTTCTCATGATAGTGAGTTCTCAGGAGATCTAATGGTTTTATAAGGGGCTCTTCCCACTTTGCTTGGCACTTCCCCTTCCTGCTGCCTTGTGAAGAAGGGGCCTGCTTCCCCTTCACCTTCTGCCATGATTCTAAGTTCCCTGAGGCTTCCCTAGTCATGCTGAACTGTAAGTCAATTAAACCTCTTTCCTTTATAAATTATCCTCTCAGGCAGTTCTTTGTAGCAATACAAAAACGAACTAATACACTGATGAATATAGTTTTCCATTTACCCTGGATAAGACCTCAGAATCCATCTTAACACAGCATGTCAGAAAGCCATGCCAAATAGATGATTACCACTCTGTGAGCCCTAGTTGCCAACTCTGTCATAGATTATTGATCTGAGGAGAGAAGGAGAAAGAAGTTTCACAGATACAACATTTGGCATTCCTGAAATAGGCCTTGCTATTTGCCCAACATATAACTAAGACGTGAAATTCTAGTAGGTCTGAGGAAATAGTGGCACCTGTTGGTGCCATTCCAGACCAAGACATAGACTTCATTCAGGCTTGGATGATAAATGGTCTATTGCAGATAAAGATATGTATTTCAAACAAAGCGTTTTTTATTTACTGAAATTATTAAATTTATAACTTCTGATTTGAAAATAAGAATCTTATCTATCACACTTTTATCTTATGGGCATTACTGTCAAGCCTATCTTTATGTTACATAGATGCACTGAGCTTTTGGCCAGATACCATTAAATGTTTGACTTCTGAAACTCACCTGCATTTCTGATTTCCTGATCACCAAATATTTGCATGTTTGTTTGCTCCCCTTTCCTTACAGGGGGAGAATGCACTGAGCATGCATGCTAATGTGGCCATTCTGCTTTACAAAAGCTTTCTTTTCTCTTTCATTGTATGCTAATCTATTGCAAGTCTGATAATTTTCATTCCCTTAAAACTTAGTTTTTCACAATCTGACAAGTAATTTTTCTGAGTTTTTTTTCTGACAATGGTAGATCCAGAGTCTCAATAAACTTCACCCAGAATCAAATTTCTGGAGTAGCCATCTGCTTCTTTCATTATAATCTTGGTATAAGCAGTATAGCTCGGTGGTTAAGAACAAAGAATTTGGATCAGACAAATTGGATTTTTGCAACTTTCTGGTTGTGTGACCTTTGGTGAATCTCAAAACCTCTTTAAGCCTCAGTTTTGGCATTTGTGTAACAGTAGTACTGGTATGTATTTGTGATGCTGTAAGCTTGTTGTGAAGATGGTATGAAATGATGAATAGATATGGTCAGTAGTCCTGTTTGTTAGCAATTGGTATATATTAGTTGTTATTATTCCTTGTTTAAAACTCCACTGACATTAAATAGCCACATGAAGAGCATGGTGACATGTGAACAGTATCATCTTCCTAATGATTTTATGCTCATGAAACCTAAACTTACTTTTGTGACTTAAAATTGCTACACCATCAACAGTTGAAGCTTCTTGATGGTGAGAAATCTATTTTATGTAGAATTACTTAAAAGGACATTTTAACTATAGTAGCAATTTCAATTGACTTCCTGTCATTTCCAAGTCACTCAGTGTCAGCCTACATTCCTCTTCAGGGAACTAGTTCCTCCCAAGACTTCTCATGTCAGGTTGGCCTAGCATGATCGGAAAAAAATCACAAGTTGGCTGTCAATCATCCAAAAGCATCTCTTCAGCACCTAAAAGGGCATAATGCTATGCTAACTACTGTGAGAAGTACATTACACAGACATAGCCATAGTAATCCAGCAACTTCTATTCTCCAGGCAGAAAGAGAAAGGATCTTTGTGCTTAATAAAAAGTGGTATGCTGTGGTGAAAGGAGCATTCTCTTGTGTTAAGAGACCAGGCTTCCCCAGGTTTGTCCTTCAGCAATGCATTTTACATTTCTGAATATATTTCTTCATTGAAAAGCAGAATTATAAAATCTGCGTACCCCCAGTGTTCTTAATCCTTTAAAAAATGTTTGCAATGTGCCATGAATATATACATATATATATTAAATATAAACATATTTAATATATTAAATATAAACATATTTAATATATTAAATATAAACATATTTAATATATTAAATATAAACATATTTAATATATTAAATATAAACATATTTAATATATTAAATATAAACATATTTAATATATTAAATATAAACATTTTAATATATTAAATATAAACATTTTAATATATTAAATATAAACATTTTAATATATTAAATATAAACATTTTAATATATTAAATATAAACATTTTAATATATTAAATATAAACATTTTAATATATTAAATATAAACATTTTAATATATTAAATATAAACATTTTAATATATTAAATATAAACATTTTAATATATTAAATATAAACATTTTAATATATTAAATATAAACATTTTAATATATTAAATATAAACATTTTAATATATTAAATATAAACATTTTAATATATTAAATATAAACATTTTAATATATTAAATATAAACATTTTAATATATTAAATATAAACATATTAAATATAAACATATTTTATATATTAAATATAAACATATTTTATATATTGAATATAAACATATTTTATATATTGAATATAAACATATTTTATATATTGAATATAAATATATATAATATATATTAAATATATAAAAATTATATAATTATATAATATAAATTATATATATTAAATATATAAAAATTATATATAATTATATAATATAAATTATATATATTTATATATTTAACTTTTCTGCAAAAAAAGATGAGAAGAAAGATCAAAAGGAATAATAGCAAGTAAAAAAAACAGTGATCAGAACAGAGAGGACATGAGCAATACTAGCTAATTATGACTATCAGTTTTTGAATTTCCACTCTGAGCCAGATCAAAAACAGAATCTCAAGCAAGTTAGTTGGGGATATGGTGGAATTTACTGTATGTTGGCTAGAGGTAACAATGTAGTAAATTGACAGGAGAGAAACCACACTTCTGGGTGATTATTTTGAAGTTCCTGAGTGGAGATATAAAGCAGAATAATGTTGCAGGGGGATTATTGGAGCTTTTTTCTTGGTATTAGGGACTTTAGGCAAGGGTCTAAGAGGTCTCTAAAATAAGTGGTTTTGGGGAACTCCTGGTATTCATTTCTCATTAGCTCTGAGGTTCTGGAGACAGGACCAAGTAATCCTCCCCTCAACTTTCTGGAGCTTTTTTGAGAGGAGCAAAGAGATAAAATGTCCCACAGTGGTTTCCCATTGCTCTAAGGATACTGTATTAGTCTGTTCTCAAGCTGCTAATAATGACATACCGGAGACTAGGTAATTAATAAAGGACTGAGGTTTAATTGACTCACTGTTCCACATGGCTGGGGAGGTGTCACAACCATGGCAGAAGGTGAAGGAGGAGCAAAATCACTTCTTACGTGGTGGCAGGCAAGAGAGCATGTGCAGGGAAATTCCCCTTTATACAAAAATCAGATCTCATGAGACTTATTCACCATCACCAGAAGAGCACGAGAAAGAGAAAGACCCATCCCCATGATTCAATTACCTCCCACAGGGCCCCTCCCACGACACCTGGGAATTATGGGAGCTGCAATTCAAGATGGGAATTGGGTAGGGACACAGTCAAGCCATATCAAAGACAAAGTATTTCCCTTATTTTACAACTAAAGACCCTGTCTCCAAAAATTCCCATTGCTCTCCATGCTCCAACCTCATCAGCAAATATTTGCAATGTTTCTAAAGCACAATGTTTCAGGCTCCCTCCTGACACAGTGGACTTTTGCAAATGATGTTCCTTCTGTCTGAGAACTTCTTTCCTTATTTTTGCTTAACCATCCCACACTCAACCTGTCTTTCAGCTTAAATGTCAATTTTGCAGGAAAGCATCCTCTGGGTCTTCAGACTAAATATGATCGCAGTTATAAATTCTCAAGAACACCTGGTCAGTTCTTTTCCTAGATAGCCAAAATGTTTGAAATCATGGAATTTCTGCATGATTGTTTGGCCTGGCTATCCCATTAGGCTGCAAGCCCCATGACAGCAGAGCAGTTTAACTTCATACCTAATAAACTGTCTGCAGCTGCTCAGTAATGATAGCTGAGTATGTGAATGAATAACTGAGTAAATAAGCAAAAAAATCATATACTTTAAAATTATTATGTTGGTTACACATATTCATTGTAGAAAGTTTTAAAATTATAAAAGTATGAATAGGATAAAAAATTTTAGATCTATCACATAGGCTAAATCATTTATTATATTTTTATTTATGATTTTACTTATTTATGTATTAATAAATTATATTATTTAAGAAATTATAATTTATTCTAGTAATATATATGCTTATATATCTGTAGTATATATGTATATATATGTGAATATGTATCCATGTATAATTTTGGATGGTAGGGCATATATTGTTCATAAATTTTTTATTACAACTTAGAAATATATCATAAAAAAATTTTCAAGTCATTAGATGTTCTTTACCCATATAATTTCTAATTGCTAAATAGCATTGCATTTGTTTGTTTCTTTCTCAAGTACCCCAGTTTATTTAACTAAAGCTTATTGTTGGCATTTGGATGATTTTAAATATTTTATTATAAACACGCTAGAATAAACAACTGTTTTGCTAACTTTTGCATGCCTTTTTCTTAGGATATATTTCTAAATGTGGCATTACTGAGTCTAATATTTTGATTCATACTGCCAAATTGTCTTTAAAAGGAAAGTAATTCTAAAGCTCTCTTACACTAGTGAGATGTAATACCCAGCTCAACAATATTATTCCTATACTCCTTTTAAACTCTTCAAAGTTGATAGACAAAATTTGTAGATTTTTTTTTAAATTCGTATCTTTTTTATTACAAAAAGAGTGGAATTTATACATAAACACAGATAGATATGCTCATATATTTATTCGTATATACGCATATTCACCATTTCAAAAACAACTTTGTTTATGTCGTGTATGGATCTGTTGCTGTCCTCACTCAAGTTGTTTGTCTTCTTAGTGATTTATAAATGTCTTCATATATATTTCAAAGATACTTATACTACATTTGCAGCATGTTATATTTTCTGAATTTGTTGATGTCTTTTAATTTTGACTCACTGTTTTGCTGTAAAGTGACACATTTTAATATAGTGAAAGTTACATCTTTTATTGTTCTCTTCAGGTATTTTATGCTCTGTGTGTGTGTGTTTTACATCTTATATAAAGATTTCATATTTCTGGTGCTATAAGTTATGAGGTAACATTTTCCATTTTTTTCTCCAAATAAATTTTCATTTGTTCCATCAAATATCACTTATATAAAAATTCATTTTTTCATGTGCCACTCATAACACATAGCAAATCTTATATATATTTGACTTTGGCATTGGATTTTGTATGCAGTTTTAGCGGTCTACTAAGCTAATAGAAAACTACTTTATTAATTTTATAATAAATTGTAATGTGTGGTAAGTTCCTTATTGTTCCTTTTTCTTTATTAAAGTTTTTTTTTTTACTATTGTGATACATTTATTTTTATAGATAAAAAGAACTCATCAAATATCATTGGATAGTCATTGCACATTAAAATTAGAGATTAATTTATGCCATTATTCAAATCTTTTTATATATTGAAAAAAAGCTGTTTATTTTCCTTAACTGCAATATAATATTTGTCAAGTTTATTCCTAAGCATTACATTTCTGTTATTGCAATTATAGATGAGATTTATTTCTTGTCATTACATTTTTCTGAGTTGTTATTATAATGATAGGAAAATTATTGGGTTTTATGAATTTAGTATGTAATTAATTACTTAAGTCTACTAGATTTCATTTTCTTGCAAATGATTATGAATTTGCATCCTACTTTTGTATGATTATTTCTGATGTTATTTTCTCTTCTTATTGCTTACTTAAAAACTTTTAGATCGATATTGACTACTGAATAAGGAAATATGTCTTAATTTTCAAATTTAAGGGGAATGCCTCTTTAGCTTGTTTATTAAGTTGATTGTGGAGCCCCAGAAGAATCATTCTACTCCTGAATTACTAAGGATATTTAAAATAAGAAATGTTAAATTTTATCAAAATTATCTTCTAAGCTATCATGTTTCTAAGACTATCATGTAGTCTTTTATAAATAATTTTTTAGATAAAAGCAGTATTATTTTAAACTAATGCTTACTTTTCTAATTCAGTTAAAACTGTCTATAAGTAATTCCATCAGCCAAATTCACAGACTACTACCTAACCACTATTGTCTGTTAACCTTACAAGTAAGTCAACACACACTTAGGTTGAAATTTTCATATCTGAAATGCCATATACAGACTTGCAACAAGACTAAAAAAAGAATACACTAAGGTTCAGAGAATGAAAGTAGATCTTCTTCCTAGGTTAGGGGAATAGGGTCAATGGAATTGACCAGATAGCACAAAGCGATTGTAAGTTTCAGTTAGGGCACATATATTAGTGATGGTCATAAATATTCAAAAGTTCTAAAAGTAGGAGGCAGACCAAATTTAGCAACGAAGATTTAGACAAATAGCTTCTGGGAAATGTCTATGAGCTGCAGAGCCTGACTTACAAAGCTGGGGGTTTAAGTACTCGTGCAGCCCTACAGCAAGGTAAAACAAGTAGTGCTCCTTAACAGAAAATGAATGACTCAGAAAAGTTACTGATGTAGGACCAAAATATAAACCAGCTCAGAAACCTAGCCCCACCAAAGGATCCCAGGTGAAGGAGTGAACATGTGGTTACTGAAGCCCTCAGAATCAGATCACGTTAGCACCTCTGGGGTCAGGCTGTGAGCTGGGCAGGAGGGAAGAACTTAGAGATAAGCTCTAAGTCACTGCAGTTCATGTAAAAGAACAAATAATATTAAGGCCTCTCAGACTGGCAAGATATGGAGCCTCTTACTATGTCTTGTCATCAGCCTATTTTCTCCTTGGAAATAAATCTGAACTTACATAGTCCAGTGGATCCAGTCAGGGGGAACCCATAAGAGGTGGAGAATTGAGGCAGAAAACTGACAGGAATCATTTAATGAGTTCTTGCTTTTCAAATTCACACTCAAACTGAAGGAGATATTAACATGTCTGTATTGAGCATTCTGGAACTGGTGAAGGCACAGGCTTCAGAAAACCTGTATCCTATTCACTGGCATGACACAGTGTGAGGAGGTAAATCCTACTTGTAATGCTTGGTGATGCTTTCATCTAAACTGTCATTAAAACTGAACTATTTCTACACATTTTGGTCACTTGTCCTTAAATTATTAAAATGCTAAAAATGTGTCTATCTGAGCAATTAAAATATAAATCATGAAGAATAAGCCGCTCTTTAAGAAAAATCCATTATGACAATTTGGGAAATGCAGTGCAATATTGAAAATGCAAACAAAAATTCGAGTGCACCTTATTTCAAATAAAATAACTATCCACAATTATAATGCACATTTGTTTCCCCCAATGTCCTAAAATCACAGTTATCTTACTATATCTAATACATGATACAATTTAAGAGTAGATTATTTGAAAACACACAGGTAAGTGAGCCAATAATTAAAAGCAATGTAGAGGCACTTTCTTTTTTTCTTTCTTTTTTTTGGCGGGGGGGAGATGGTGTCTCCCTCTGTTGCCCAGGCTGGAGTGCAGTGGCGCGATCTCGGCTCACTGCAAGCTCCGCCTCCCGGGTTCACGCCATTCTCCTGCCTCAGCCTCCGGAGTAGCTGCAACTACAGGTGCCCGCCACCACGCCCGGCTAATTTTTTGTTTGTTTGTTTTTTGTATTTTTAGTAGAGATAGGGTTTCACCGTGTTAGCCAGGATGGTCTCGATCTCCTGACCTCGTGATCTGCCCGCCTTGGCCTTCCGAAGTGCTGGGATTACAGGCGTGAGCCACTGCGCCCGGCCAGAGGCACTTTCTTGAAGAACTTGAAACCATATTAGAGTGAAGGACCCCTCTTGGCCCCATCTCATACACATCTCACTGTTTCCCTTTCCCATCCCATAACAACAGAGAGAAATCTACCAAGTGATTTTTACTGGGATCCACTAAGAGACTTTTTAACAGGTGAGAGCAATTTCTCACTTTCTTTTCCCTTCCTCTCCCCTAATGCCCTTATCTCCAAATATAGCCTGAGAAATTGTTGGGATTGAAATCTAGGAAGGAGCTTCTTAAAAAGAAAAAACCTTTGTCATCTTATTTGATTTTAACCTCAATCCTGAATTCTTTGCCCTCCTAGAGCAGCAACTCAACTCAGTAATCAGATCCTAGTTTTAAATCAGAAGTGTAGTTGAAGCCATTGATTTTATCCAATATTCTCTGAATAATTGGTTGGTACAAGAATTTCACCACCTGTTTATAGACGGTGGCCAGAAGTTAGAGCTGCCTGCTGATTGCTTTTTTGTGTGTTATTGTGATTTTAAACTATATTTAATGTTCTGTTTGAATGGGAGATTTTGCCACCTGCGGGAGCATTCCAAAAAATAGCATTGGCTGCTGTGTATATCAATGTCAGAGTCAGATTCATACTGCAAAGGGGCTGCAAAATTCATCAGTGGAAAATGGCTCAGCGAATTCTGTGAAAGCATCTTCCCTGGGAAGCCTAATCCTCTGTCAATGATACTTAAAAAGTAACTTCCATTCCTCCTCTAAGAAAATCGTAAACTTCTCTCCTAGGTTGTGGGCTGCAGCAGACATATTAGAGAGATTTTTTGAGAAAATATGCCTCCTTCATTTGTCTCAAAAATGGACAAAAACGTAGATTCCACTAGTCACACACAATACAATATTGACATCATACTAAATAGAGTCTTGCATCATGTTTTTTCATTAAATATTGAGTTCTCATTCGTTTCTCTTGCTATTATTTTAAAAACTCAAATTATATATTATTTTAAAACCACTTATGATTATATGAACATAATTAATTTCATGATCATTGAAGCTTTATCTACTGTCTACTAAATATAAATAGTGCTTCAGAAACATCCTTTTTTTTTTTTTTTTTTTGAGACAGAGTCTTGCTCTGTCACCCAGCCTGGAGTGCAGTGGTGTGATCTCAGCTCACGACTGTCTCCACCTCCCAGGTTCAAGCAATTCTCCTGTCTCAGACTCCTGAGTAGCTGCGACTACAGGCGCACGCTGCCACCCCTGGCTAACTTTTGTATTTTCAGTAGAGACAGGGTTTCACCATATTGGTCAGACCCGTCTCAAACTCCTGACCTCAGGTGATCCACCCACCTCGGCCTCCCAAAGTGCTGGGATTGCAAAAACATTCTTATAAGTATACTTTTGTTCACATCTCTTAGTATCTCCTCAGTGAATATTCTACAATATTAATTATTTAACCAGAATGTATGAATATTTTAAATTTATTAGTATATTTTAATAATGTGCTTTCAGAAAGAATTTATCAATTTTCATTCTCATTAGTTGCATCGTACAGTCTCAGTCTTACTGCAGTCTGTGCAACACCATGGTCATTGTTTTTCAAACTTTGCCTGTTTAATGGACAGAAAAGCTAATGTTTGTTTAATTTGAATTTCATTAATTACTTATAAGAAATGTCTTTATATGTTTCTCAGCTCTTCGTCACTATTATATGAGTATTTTGTTCATGATCTTTGTCCATGTATCTCCTTGGTTTCTCTCCTTGACTTGTAAGTGCTCTTTACATAGTTCTAGTATAAACCTTTGACATAGATTTTGATTGTTTTTCGTCACAGAAATGCAGAATACTTTTGAAACTTTTAATACAGTTGCACCTTTTTTTGAGTTTGAAATGATGGTCCTTGCTTGATTTAAATTGTTTTTTCTTTGAATGCCTATGACCAAAATATCTCCCCGTTAAGCCAGCTTCTAGGCCCAGAAAAATGAAAGTTGCCTTGGGACAAAACAGGAAAACAGGATCCATCACCATTCTAAACCATCAGCTTTGTAAAGACATCTGAGATGATTATGGCACAAGAGGCACAGAGAGTAAGTGGATCTTAGTCCAGCAGAATGATTCCTCCTGGGACCAGAAAATTCTTCTCATTCTTAATTTTCTTTATTTGTTTTGCTTCCTATAATTACTTTAAAAATTATAATGTAAAATATTTTCAACAGACCAAATATGAGTAAGGATATCATGAACACTCATGTTATGAATATTCTGCTTAAGAAATGATCATCAAAACGATGAAGGCCCCAGGTACCTCATGCTGATCACATTCTTCTTAATGTCCTCCCAAACTAGAAAAAGTTACTGCCCTCAGAAAGAGTTTCTTATCCCTAAGAACTTCTTTATATTTAATCATATAGTTATATCATCCCAAATAATAGGCAGAATGGTTTTAAAATTGTCAAATATGCACATTTCCAATTTCATTAAGCAGAGAACATATATTTTCACCCATAATTATGTTTTGAAACTCACTCATGTTGATACCTATTTTACTCTTTTATAGTATACATTGTATAATGTTGATGGACATTTAGCTTGTGGTACATTCTTATTTTCTTTTATCTTGTTTTTTTTTTGCTATTATAAACATAGCTGATAGGAATATTTATATACAGTTGACTTGTGAACAATATGAATGTGATCTCATTTACTTATACATGGATTCTTTTCAATAAAGATGAAACAGTGTGTCTGCCTTTTCTTCTACCTCCTCCACCTCGCCTGCCTCTGTCATCCCTAAGACAGCAAGACCAACCCCTCCTCTTCTTCCTCCTGAGCCTACTCAATGTGAAGAAAATGAAAATGAAGACCTTTATGATGATTCACTTCCACTTAGTAAACAGTAAACATATTTTCTCTTTCTGGTGATTTTTTTAATAACATTTTCCTTTCTCTAGCTTACTTTATTGTAAGAATACAGTATATAATACGAAATAAGTGTTAACTGTTTTTGCTATTGGTAAGGCTTCTGGTCAAAGTAGGCTATGAGTAGTTAAGTTTCTGAGGAGTCAAAAGTTATACAAGGATTTTTAACCAAATGGGAAAAGCGGCACCCCTCATCTTCATGCTGTTCAAGGATCAGCTGTATATTCTTGAGAACCTGTGAGTTTGTCTAGATCAGAATACGCCATTTTTTAGTTGACTGGAATTTGCTTTTCAGGGTGGTTCTACAAATTTAAATTTCCATTTTTCATTAGAATTTACTATTATCACACCTTTTTTTGTTTTGTTTTTGTTTTGTTTTTGTTGTGATAATTGGTGTCTTATTATGGTTCTAATTAGTATTTCCATGATTACTATTGAGTTGACCTTCTTTTTGAATGTATATTGATCTTCACATTTCCTCTTGTTCAAATTGCTTACTAATATATCTTGCCTAATATTTACTGTGGTGTTTATCTTTTCTTATTGATTTGCAGGATCTTCTATTATAATCAGTATATTAATCTTTGTCACTTATATGCATGGCTACTATCATCTCCCAGACCATGGCTAATCTATTTTTTATTATGAAATATTTCATTCGCACAAAGAATATATATGATGAGTATATAAGGCTTGAAATATAATAAAACAAAAATTCTTGTGCCAAACACCTACCTTATGACCTGGTGATGAAATATCAGCAATACCCCTGAAGGTCTTTTGATGTTCTTTTGTCTTTCCTGACTATGTTAACCCCTCTTTTGAATTTTTAAAAACTCAGCTTTATTCAGATGTAATTATATGCAATAAATGCATACATTTTAAGTATATGGTTTGATATCTTTTGACAAGTATATATACCCATAATCAAGATAGAGAACACAGACTTGTTACCTCCAAAAGGTTCCCATGCGTTCCTTTGCAAGTAGCCCCTTTCCTAATCTCCAGCCTCAAACAACCAGTATCAGCTGTCAATATAGGTTAGTCTTCAGTGTTCTAGAATTTTATATAAATACAATCGTACATTATACAAAAGTACTTGGTGTCTCTGGCTTGTTTTGTGCAATATAGTGCTTTGAGATTTATCCATGTTGTTGTGTACATAGGTAGTTCTCTTTGAGTTCTGAGTAGTATTCCACTGTATGCAACGGTTTGCATACCCACTCTTCTGTTGCTGGACAATTAAGGTGTTTCTTATTAATTTGGATCCTAAAATATTTATATACAAGTATAGGCATATGCTTTATGTGGGCATATCATTTTATTTCTCTTGGATAAGTACCCAGGGGAGAAATTTTTGGGTTGTATGGTAAGTCCTATGTTTAACTTTAAAACATTCCCAACGTGTTAGTACTCATGTTACATTCCCACCAGAAATGTAGGGAGGTTTCAGGTAATCCATATTCATTAGGTAGGCTTAGTTCAAAGTTTTGTTTTAATTTTAGCTACTATTATTTAAATGGACATTTCTTGAGGACTAATGATGTTGAATATCTTTTTATGTATTTATTGATCATTCGTAGATCTTCTTGGAAATGTGTCTATTGACATATTTTGTCAATTTTTTCAAAGTAGATTGTTTTCCATTTTTTTCTCTCTTTTTTTTTTTTTTTCCTGGAGACAGAGTTTCACTCTGTCGCCCGGGCTGGAGTGCAGTGGCGTGATCTCGGCTCACTGCAACCTCCGCCCCGCTGGGTTCGAGCAATTCTCCTGCCTCAGCCTCTCAAGTAGCTGCGGTTGCAGGCACCTGCCACCGTATCTGGCTAATTTTTGTATTTTTAGTAGAGACAGGGTTTCACCATCTTGGCCAGGCTCGTCTTGAACACCTGACCTTGTGATCCACCCGCCTCAGCCTCCCAAAGTGCTGGGGTTACAGGCGTGAGCCACCACGCCCGGCCTGTTTTCTTTTTATGATTGAGTTAAGTGTCCTTCATATAGTTGGGAGACAAGACCTCTCTCATATACATATAGGTGCAATATTTTTCCCAGTTAGTGGCTTGCTTTTTTATTTTAACGGTGTCATTAAAAAAATATCCATTTACAATTCACAGTGCAATGAGTTTTGACAGACACATACACTTGTTAAACCACCACTACAATATATACAAAATACTTCCATCCCTGCCTCCACTCCTGGCTGGTCACAGACAACCGATGATCTGCCTTCTGTCAAAATAGGTTAGTTTGCATTTTCTAGGTTTTTCGATTTATAAATTGAAACATTCAGTTTTTATTTTTGACTTCTTTTACTCAGCATAATGATTCATTCATGGAGATCCATCTATGTGGTTGCATGTTTTAGTAGTATCCTAATTTTATTGCAAAATAGTAGTACATTGTGTAGATATGCTATATTGTGTTTTTCCATTCTCTTAATGATGGGAATTTGGATTATATCTGGTTTTTGCTTATTGTGAATAAAACCTCTATGGACATTCATGTACAATGCTTTGTGTAGGCATCTATTTTCATTGCTCTTGGGTAAGTATCTGGTAATGAAATGTCTGGTTCATATGGTAGGTTGTGTTTAACTTAATCAGGAACTTCCTAATGATTTCCTCATAGTTGTATCATTTTACACCCCTACCAGCAATGTATGAGAATTTCAGTTGCTTTATATCTCATCAGCATTTGGCATCGTCAGCCTTTTTAATTTTAGTTTAGTAATGTGTATGCAGTGACATCGTATTATGGTTTTAATTTGCTTTCCCCTGATGACTAACGCTGCTAAGCAGCTTTTCATATGCTTATTTGCCATCCTTAAAACTTCTTTGGTGATGTGTCAATTCAAGATTTTACCCATGTTATATTGGGTTGTTTGCGTTCTCATTTAGGATTTGTAAAAATTTTTTGTTCCAATTTTTTTTTTATCAGATTTGTGTTGTGTCAATATTTTCTTCCACTCTGTGGCTTACCTTCTCATTGTCCCAGTGGTGGTATTCAAAGGAAAAATGGTTTTAATTTTAACGAAGTCCAACGTATCAACATTTTCTTTTATGGTTTATATTGTTGCTGTTGTATCTAAACTGTATTTCCATATTTATTTCTAAGAGTTTTATAGTTTTAGCTTTTACATTTAGTCCCATGTTCCATTTCGAGTTCGCTTTTGTATGCAATGTGAATTGTCAAAGTTTATTTTTTTATATGGATAGCAATCTTTTTTTTTTTTTTTTTTTGAGACAGAGTTTCCCTCTTTCGCCTAGGCTGGAGTGAAGTGGCAGGATCCTGGCTCACTGCAACTTCTGTCCCCCGGTTTCAAGCCATTCTCCTGTCTCAGACTCCCAAGTAGCTGGGATTATAGGTGCCTGCCACCATGCCCGGCTAATTTTTGTATTTTTAGTAGAGACGGGGTTTCGCCACGTTGGCCAGGCTGGTCTCAAACTCCTGGCCTCAGGTGATCCACCCGCCTCGGCCTCCCAAAGTGCTAGGATTACAGGCGTGAGCCACGGCGCCCGGCCAGGATATCAATTGTTAGAGTACTATCTGTAAAGAATTAAATTTAAAAAAGTTTATTTCTTCTATTGTCTAGGTAAATTTTATAAAAATCAATTGACATGTGGGTATTTATTTCTGGACTCCTAGCTTGTTACAACTATATACATATATATTTACACACACATATACACACACACTACCGTACTTTCTTAATTACTTTATAATACGTTTTGAAATCAGATAGTCTTTCAACTTATTTCTTTTTCAAACTTGTAGTCATTGTATAGCCTTTTCATATAATATACATCTTATAATCAGCTTATCCATTTCTACAAAAATAATAGCAAAAAGGAGGAGGAGGAGGAGGAAAAAGGGGAGGAAGATGTAGAGGAGTCATATATCTGGTGTGCTTTAGACTGGGGTTGTGTCGAATCTATAGATCAGTTTGAGAGAACCTTACTAATATTGAATGATCAATAGATGAACATTGTACATCTCTTCATTTATTTGTGTTTATTTTATTAATGCTGGTAATTTGCAGTGTCCAAATCTTGTACCTGCTTTGTTAAATTTATATTTAAGTGTTTTCTGTTTCATTGATTTCACTCGCGTCCATGTGAAGAGACCACCAAACAGGCTTTGTGTGAGCAAGGCTGTTTATTTCACCTGGGTTCAGGCGGGCTGAGTCTGAAAAGAGAGTCAGCCAAAGGAGATATGGGTGGGGTCGTTTTATAGGATTTAGGTAGGTAAAGGAAAATTACAGTCAAAGGGGGGAGTTGTTCTCAGGCGGGCAGGAGTGGGGGTCACAAGGTGCTCAGTTGGGGAGCTTTTTGAGCCAGGATGAGCCAGGAGAAGGAATTTCACAAGGTAATGTCATCAGTTAAGGCAAGGACCGGCCATTTTCACTTCTTTTGTGGTGGAATGTCATCAGTGAAGGCAGGAACAGACCATTTAAATATCCCTTCTTTTGTGATTCTTCAGTTACTTCAGGCCATCTGGATGTATAGGTGCAGGTCACAGGGGATATGATGGCTTAGCTTGGGCTCAGAGGCCTGACAGTTGACATCATTGTCAGTGGTGTTTTTGCATTACATTTACAATTGCTATTGCTAGTACATAAAAAGACAGTTGATTTTTGTACATTGTTTTGCATACATAAGTGTATCTAGTAATTCTAAAAACTTCTAAAAACCTTTTAGGTAGATGTTTTAGAATTTTCTGTATTCATGATTTATCAACTACAAATAAGACAGTTTATTTCCAAATTGTATGCCTTTTATTTCTTTGCTTGACTTACCGTACAGGCCAAGTCCTCCTTTTATATTATTAAACAAAAGTGGTGAAATTTGGCTGTTTTTAATTAGTTTTATCAGGTTGAGAAATTTTCCCTTCCATTTCTTTTACTATTTTGTTAATAGTTTCTATCATTAATAGGTATTGGAATTTATCAAAAGGTTTCTCCGCATCTAATGATATAATCGTGTTTCCTTTCCTTTATTCATAACTACGGTACCATACATTCCTGACAATGATAGTCACTCTTAATTTTTTATCAGATTCTTAGACCACCATATATTTTACCATACATTATGTATATTTTAATAAGAAATAGATTATAAATATTTGTATGTTTCTGACCTTATGTTGCTGGTATCTTACTATATATATCCTATTAAAGTTTGTTTTTCCCACTCAATAATATGTTTTTAAAATCCATCTATAATAATATGTGACACTATGGTTTATTTTCACCAATCTGTACCACTCATTTATCTGAACATTACAGATTAAAATCATCCAATTTCCTGCCAAAGCATATTTGGTTTGCTTACCACTTTTTTGCCATTACAAACTTTTTCAAGATGAACCTTCTTCTGCATGTCTCCCCGTGAGTATGTCAGTTTCCTGATTGTACATTGCTTGGGGCGGGGATTGCTGGATGAAATACCCTGCATGTGACTACATTGGGACTGGACAAAGAGAAAGTAAATGGGTGGGCCAACAACAAAAAAACAACATACCCTTCAGCTTTGCAAGACAATGCCAACTTCTTTTCCAAAGTGGTTGCAACGATTTACATTCACACAAATGAATACGATTACTGGTTGTTCTGTATGCATAGAACTCAGTACTTACTATCTGCCAGTAGATGTTGATCTCAATTGGTGGATCCCTTTGTGGTTTTGTTAGTAAATATACACCAAGGTTTCATTGGTAAATGTCTTGCTTGCTGTTGATTCTTGTTTCTTTTCTTTAAAATACCTATTCATATCATTTTGAGGTACACTGCAATGATATTACATTTTATAGATTAATTTGAGAAGTATATTTTTATAATTGTGTGGAGACCTATTAAAAAAACAATTTAATTTTACCTTTCTTAATGCTATTACATAAGGATTTATCACTTTCTCTTTGTATTTCTGTTGTCAGATTTATCTAAAAGTTATTCAGTTCTTAATATTTTGGCAATGCAAATAGTATGTTCGAATTATACTTTGTAACTGTATATTGCTAGTGTGTAAGAACTCACTTTATTTCAAATTTTGGTCTTATGTTTAGAAACAAAGTTATACATTTTGATGATTAATTTTAGTAATTTGATTATGGATTCCCATGCTTCTTTTACATGAATATTAATATCACCCCAGAATTGACAGGGTTTTCTGTCCCATTTATGACAAGTATTTATTCATTTTATTTTTCTTACTTGAATGGCTAGGACTTTGAATAAAATATTGAGTGAAAATGATGATTGCCAATATACTTATTCATCTCTGATTTTTTTCCCCCTGCTTTTTTTTTTTTTTTTTTTTTAAGAGTCAGAGTCTTGCTCTATTGCCCAGGCTGGAGTGCAATGGTGTGATCATAGCTAACTGCAGCTTTGATCCTCCTGCTTCAAATGATCCTCCTGTTTCAGCCTCTCAAGTAGCTGGGACTACAGGTGTTTGCCACCAAGTCTGGCTGATTTTTTATTTCTTGTAGAGATAGGGTCTCACTATGTTGCCTGGGCTGGTCTCCAGCTTTGGACCTCAAGTTATCATCTTACCTTGGCTTCCCAAAGTGCTGGGATTACAGGCATGAGCCACCACACCCAGCCCTCATTTGTGATTTTTAAATCAATGCTTCTAAGCTTTTACTGTAAAGTCTGATGGATTTTTGGTAGATTATCTTTATTAGGTTAGTAGAGTTTTCTTCTAGTCTATGTATGATAAGGATTTTATTATTATTATTAAATAATTGCTAAATTTTTTCAACTGCTTTTTTCCCCTTCTCTTGAAGAGATTATAAGGGTTTCCCCCTTTTAATCTGCTAAGATGGGAAATGATTAAAATATTTTCTAAAATGAGGCCAATATTAAATTTGTTGATTAATTGCCCACTTAGTGCTGGGTGTTCTGTTAGCATCTGAGAAGTATATAGCAATGATTAAAGGAAGAATGGTGATAAAGATTTTATTATTTTTTTAAAACTAAGCAAATAAATAATATGACATATGACAATGTTTTGAATAAAAATGGAACAAGATAGAGATTGGTAGGTACTATTTTAAAGAAGATGTTTAAGAATTTTCTATCTGATCAAAATGACATTTAGGCAGGGATCAGAAGGAAGTGAGAAAATGAGCTATATGGACACATGCAGGAAGCACTTTCCAGGCAATGGAATTGGCAAGCGCAAAGGCCCTGTGGCAGAAAGAAGTTGGTCAGGATGGCGAAGGGGTGGCAAGTAACAGTGTGAGTGGGGTTCTATAAAGTCAAAGACACAGCAGCATATCTGACCTGACAGGTTCTAAATATCAGATGCTTCATTCCAGGGTCTTGGGGGCCATGGCCAGAACTTTGGAGTTTTATTCTGAAGCAGATAAAACTCTGGAGAGTGTGACTTATTTTTTAATAGGATCCTCTGGCTTATTTGTGGAAGATAGAAAGCGTATAAGAAAGCAAAATCACAAGCAAACTAATGGTTAGAGGGCTCTTGTGTAACTCCAGATGAGAGAGGATAGGGGCTTGGTCAAATAAGAAAGGTTTGGGGCCGGACGCCATAGCTCACATCTATAATCCCAGCACTTTGGGAGGCTGAGGCAGTTGGATCACCTGAGGTCAGTAGTTCAAGACCAGCCTGACCAACAAGGTGAAACCCTGTCTGTACTAAAAATACAAAAATTAGCCACGCGTGTGGCAGGTGCTTGTAGTCCCAGCTACCTGGGAGGCTGAGACAGGAGAATTGCTTGAACCCAGGGGGCAGAGTTTGCAGTGAGCCAAGATTGTGCCACTGCACTCCAGCCTGGGCAACAGAGCAAGACTCCATCTCAGAAAAAAAAAAGAGAAAGGTTTGGGTTCTGGACACATGGGGAATATCCATACTGACAGCAAATACTTTTATAGCACTTACTATCTACCAGGCACTCTTCTAAGAATTTCATAAATATGTACTCATTTCACAGCTTCAACAGGTAGATACTATTATGACCACCATTTTATATGGAGAAGCTGAGGTACAGAGAGGTAAAATACCTGCACATGTTTAAAGAGTCTCAGGGAGTTAGCTTGGAGGCTGGGGAACATCAAACAAGGTCTACCTCCGAAGGTGGTTCAAGGCCACCAGGAGCAAGGACAGGGAGGGAGAGTCCTTGGCATATGGAAACTCAGAAGGGGGAGGTTTATAGGCTGTCTGGGGCCTCACTTTAGAATGGCATGAATGCTTTATCTGGCTATGATTCTAGGGTATGTTTCTTAGGATAGAAATCTCCACTCTGGCTGTGGATACAAGAGGATTCTGTTATTGAGAATAGTGAAGGAGGGGTAGGATTACATAATTTATTCATTTGTTGCTGTTAGCATTACATTTTATAAGAGTACCTAGGCTCTCTGATCCTGAGACCTGCAATGTAGTTTTTTATAATAGACAAAAAAGAGAAAGAAGTAGAGTGTCTAGGATTCTCGCTGTCTTCTCCCATGATCAGTCCTTAATACTGGATCTGAATTTTCTCTGGCAAATGATACAAAAGTCTTTTTCTTTTTATTTTTTGTTCATTTGTTTGTTTGTTGAAATGAAGCTCTGTGCATTCTTAGTGTGATGGCACAGAACACCAACTTATTTTTTTCTTGCATAAAACTATCATATGTCTCTAAAATTCCCTCAGCATCTGAACTGCTTACACGTTTGCCCATTTCCATCGTTTCCCCAAAAGTGAAGTTCTCCAGGCCCCTTATGTACTTTTTGTTCATTTCAGATTTATATTTATTTATTTATTTATTTATTTATTTTTGGTTTGCAAAATGCTTAGGAAACCAAAGTATGAGAGATCAAGTCATTACAAACCAAAGCAATGCAGGACAAAATCCATAAGGATGATCTAGGCAATAAGATAATTTCAGAGGAAGGGAGAATGACTCTTGACTGAGGGACCATGGAGGGCTCTGAGGAGGAACTAGGATTTGAGCCTGGATGTGAATATTGTCTGTTTTACACAGGTAGAGAGGGACAGAGATGCCTGCCTGTGAGTACTTATGTCAATTCTCTCTGACTTTAGCCCGTAGCACTGCGTATGGTTTCCTCACACATTCTGGTCAATAGAAATTCCCTCAGTAATCACCAAGGACACCCAAAATCTCAATCTCAGCTTTACTTCTTCCAAGGACTTGGAATCAAGCATTTCCTGAAACAATTGTATTAGTTGGGGATAGACTAAGGCTGTCAATTTTGTCTTTCTCTGTATCTTCCCTATACCAGGTACATAGTAGATACTGTTGGTCTGTTTTTGTGCTGCTGTAAAGGAATACCTGAGGCTGGGTAGTTTATAAGGAAAAGAGGTTTAATTGGCTCCTAATTCTACAGGCTGTACAGGAAGCATGGTGCTGGCATCTGCTTGGCTTCTGGTGAGAGGCCTCAAGGAGCTTCTACTCATGGCAGAAGGGGAAGTGGGGGAAGGCATGTCACATGGCAAGAGTGAACAAGGGGATGTAGCACGTGCCACACTCTTTTAAACAACCAGATCTCATGTGCTCTCAGATTGAGAACTCACTCATTACTGCCAGGAGGACACCAAGCCATTCATGAGGAATCTGCCCCCATGACAAAAACGCCTCCCACCCGGCCTCGGCTCCAACAATGGGGATTACATTTCAACATGAGGTTTGGAGGGAAACATCGGAACTATGTAAGATACTTAGCAAATATTTAGTTAATGCAAAAATACATTCCCATTTAACTTGAAATCTTTAGAATTGCACTTTTCATCTCTAGTAAGCCACATACTTTGATCTATTGCACTGAACACAGTACTAGATATATTACTAAATTTATTTCTCAGTGACCAGCTATTTGCTGGAACCAGAATCCCTTCCTAATTGCAGTCTTATTGGCTAGGTATTGGCACTGCACTTAGCGGAAGTGTCACCTCCCTCATCAGGGTGCACCGCCATAAATGGACAGATGGCCATGGGTTCAGGGCTGCTGTTTCCCTGGGTCTGAGTGTTTCTTGCCAACCAGGATTGCAAGGAAGTCTGGATTTTTTTTTTTTTTTGTAATGATTTTCACCTCCATGCCTAATGCTAAGCCTGCTCAATATCAACAATGCCTAAACGGCTAAATATTACACAATGGCTATCTGGTGCATACTAAAAGATAAGTTCAGTTCCTAGCTTGGCTTTTCAAAGCCATTGTTATCTAGTCATAGTTTCCTTACGGGTGACTGTTTTAAATGGCAGGAATGACTTGAGCTATGCAAAGAGACATGAGCATCCCTAAAATATCTCCAGTGTGGTGAGTGTGTGGAAGAGAAATTTGAATTAAGCAGAGGTCCTCAATCTAACTGGAATAAACACTTCCCATTTATGACCAATATTTGTCATTTTTTTATTATCCTAAAATAAAAAGTAAAGTGATATAATATTTGACATAAATAGTTTCAGAGTATCAACATTGTGCTCTAACTGTAATATAAAAGGAAAGTATAATAAACTGCTACAAATTAAATTTGTGACTGATAGACACAGTTCACTTAATATGTACTGTCCTAAGCAGCTGGATCCTTATTTTTCTCCTTGTAACCCCAGTTTATTCCCAAGGCATTTTGTACATCAACTCTTGTTTTCTTCTTTGCCCTTTATTCAAAACTTCTATTGAATACCAACTATATATTGGACACTGTGATAGGCAATAATATAAGAATTACTATCTCCCACATGGCTGATATGGAAACCCACAAGTTAACCCAGTTTTCCTAGGGTGTATTATGAATAGGCAGCTGAACAAAGTTTCAAAAGCAAATATACCTGTTACTTCTGCTGTCACAAACATGAGAGCAGTTATGGGTGGGGTAGTCACTGGCAGGGAGTCTGAGGGAGGTTTCTGAGGGGTGGGGTTGGTGTTCTTCTCACGTGGGTGGTTATATGAGTATGCTGCCTTTGTTGAAGTTCAGTGAGTTTCACACTTATGATTTGTGCTATGTGAACTTTTCTTTATGTATGTTGTTCTTCAATAAAAGCTCACTCCAAAGGCAGGGAGAGAAGCAAATCTATCTAAATCCAACAGTTTCCTTTGCCTGAAGCCAGATTTCAATGAATCTCCACTTCAAATGTCAGATCCCCTTCTCAGTATGCTTTTTGTCATTTTATTAGCGCTGGCCTGCTTTGCAAGGATAGCTCTTTAGACACTTCTTTACTGAGAGCTCTTGGCAGAAACCGGGACTCCTCTCGAAGGGTAGGGGTAAGAGGAATTAGAGATATTGATCCAAACCTGAGTTCTACAGGAGATCCTTTCCCATCCATCCTGCCAAACCCCAAAGTGACGTTTTCATTCGACGTCACAACGCTTCATTCAGTGTGACACAGGTTCTGTGTCACATTCATTCTGTGACGCAGGTTCTGAAGAAGAACTCAACTTCAGTCCTATGGAGACCACTGAAAGAGGAAGCTCCCCGCAGCAAAGAAAGTAACCAGGAACTGAGTTTTGATGGGAAATTTGTCTTTCAAATTCAAAGCAGTAGATTGGAATGATATGGATAGCCCAGCCTTGGAATTGAGATGGCCCTCAGAAATCAGAGCACTGATTTTCACTTGAACAACTTTGAAAAGCCTAAACAACAAGGGAATATCTCTCTCTCTCTATATATATATATCCTGGCCTGTGATCTCTCTACGTCCCAGGATGGGGTCGGATGGGCACAGCCGGGCACAGACTGTCCAGAGTGTTAGACGCCAACTGGGTAGCTATTCAATTATGAATAGTTAGAAAAGAGAGAGAGAGAAAAGAGAAAATAACTAAAAGACTCTCTACCATACCACTCTCCCTCAAGCCCTAGAAAGAGGCAATTCTGAAGTGGTTGGTCGTCTTGGAAAATAGGTTAATGATTTTACAGATTTCCCAGACAATGAAAAAATGATACATTTATTTCTAGGCAAGTAGATCAGTTTGCTTCTTTATCATAAAAGAGCTTGAAGAATTCAGTGAGGTTCAGAGGGAAAAAAATGCTTAAAGAAAAGTTGCTTTCAAAGTTGTATTTAAAAATCACATATACCCTTCTATATTTTATAAGCCATTAAAAGGCTTTCCAAGGGCAAATTTAAACATTCCAATTAGTCATCTTACAAGCTGACTTTAGAACATAAAGTATATGTAAGATTTAATTTCATTTTATTTCTCAACCTTATAATGGTCGAAAGAAACAGATACTGTGGGGTGAAGTAAAATCTTTGACCCATACAGTAAAATATGAGGCTGTAATGAACTATTTCTTTAAACCTGGTATTTACCAAGCATAGAGCTATGTTGGTGCTGAGCTGACTTTATGTTTTTTTGGCCAGGCACTATGATGGAGACCGTGTTACATTATTTCCTTTAATCCATTCTCTAGTCCTATGTGGTAGATAGTAAATTGTGCTTTTAAAATAAGGGTACTGGGCTGGGCACAGTGGCTCACACCTGTAATCCCAGAATTTTGGGAGGTCAAGGTGGGAAGATCGCTTGAGCCCAGGAGTTTGAGCCAGCCTGGACAACCTAGAGAGACTCCATCTCTACAAAAAATTTAAAAATTAGCCGAACTTGATGGTGCGTGCTTGTAATCCCAACTATCAGGAGGCTGAGGTGGAAGGATCACCTGAGCCCGGGAGGTCAAGGCTGTAGTGAGCCTGGATGGTGCCACTGTACTCCAGGGTGAGTGACAGAGCGAGAACCTGTCTCAAAAATAAATAAGTAAATAAACAAACATAGGGGCACTAAGGTACATAGAAGTTAACCAACCTGTCCAAGTTACAGAGCCCACAGCTCTCAATCAAATAGATACAATTCTATGCCAGTGAAACTTCTGGGGCGAAAGTCTTTTAGGAGACATAGAAATGTGTCAAAATTCAAAAAGCCCTGAAGATTATTTCCAGAAGGAAGGCACAGAGGAGAAAAAAGAAAATATTTGAAAATACAGTGGTAGAAAATTCGCCTGACCTGAGGGGCAGCTTTTTGCCACCAATGTCTCTGATACATTAATTATTCTCTGCTACATTAAGATTTTAGTTTTTAATTTTAACAATTTTTCCTCCTGAATTTGAATTTTCTGTGTTTGTTTGGTTTGATGCTTTTTCTCACAAGGGTGAATTGCCTCAAATGTTTGGGAATTTTTAGTCATCTTTTCATATTTGTAAATAAGAATCTGCATTGATCAGTCTTTGCAGCAGGAGTGTATTTTCTCCAGCCTCCGGGTTCTAATTTTATGACACCACTGCCTATCATTCTGAAATTATTCGAAACACTAATGGAAAAAATCACTTTTTAGAGATACTCTTCTTCACTTGGATGAGTTTGCAATTTTCTCAGGTTCACTGTATTTTATCATTTTTTACCCTGTTCCCATCAGCTTTGCATTTTTTACAAACCCCATAACCATCATGTGGGCTGATGACACTCCTCCCAGCCTCCTAGCCCTGCTATGGATATTTTATTCATTTACTCATTTGTTCATATACCCAACTTTTTACTGAAGTCTATACATACAGAAAGGTGAACATATTGTGAGGCTATAACTTGATTAATTTTTGAAGAGTATGCTTGTGTAACTATCTCCCAGATCAAGCAGCAGATTCTTCCCAGGAATTCCAGAAACCCATGTCCTGCACCTTTCCAGATACTAAGCCCCCCTCCCAAGGAAGTCAACTATCCTGACCTCTAGCACCATATTAAACTTGCCTGTTTTGCACTTTATGTAAGCAGGATTCCACAGTATATACACTTTGTGCACTGCTTCTTTAATCTGTGTTTGGAGATTCACCCCTGTTCTTGCATGTAGCCATGCTTTATTTGTTCTCATGAGGTGGGAGGATAGCCTGAGCCTGAGAGGTCAAAGCTGTAGTGAGCCAGGAAGGTGCCACTGTACTCCAGCCTGGGCAACAGAGCAAGACCTTGTCTCAAAGCATATACCTAGCATATACCTAAGAGTAGAATTGCTGGCTTTGATTGATTCTATTATTACATATTTCTGTCATTTCAGTAGGCTTTGGAATGAACAAAATATAAACACATTAGATCTGTTTGCCATCTTTTACCTGAAAGCCTAAAGCATGGTTTTGACTGATAAGAATCATTTACAATTCAATAGCAACGCTATTGCTCATACTTTAAAAATTTTTATTTAAACCAAAATGAGAAAACTTTGGAGTTCATCACCATTAAAAACAATGACAAAACTTGTGGATTTTGTTTTGCTCCCTTTTAATACTCCAATATATATTTTGATTTAAAAATTTCTTAAGAGACCACCACAGAAAATATCCATTATAAAACTTATTTCTAGAATCATAACCATCTTTATAAAGCTGCAATTGAAAACAAAAAATAAGAAGAAAGAAAAAAAAGAGACATGAATAGCCTTTTTTTCTTTCCTGTTGTTTTGATCTGTATTTGTCCAAGTATGCATCTATGAATAAACCTAGTCCCTCATCCACTAACCTTCTTTTGAACTTAAATGATTTGTATGTGGTCTAATCATATTTCCTGGTCCCATGGCACTCTAGAGTCTAACTGTGCATGCCGGTCTCTTATTTCCATACATTGTATCTCAGAGATAACCAAATGCATGGCCAACTTCCCTAATTACAGTCACCAGGTCCTGGCGGCCTCCTGCAGTGCCCTCTCTTCCCTGCATCCTTTCACTTTTGTGTTTTCATTTTTTCCATCTCTCTCCCTGAAGTATACTCTCCTTCAAATTTCCCCTGGCCCTAAGGAGACTGCTTCAACATTTGTTTACATGTCAAAAATAATTGAAGACTAAATTAATTCTCAGCTTCAGTTTATCAAGCCCCTTTTCAATTGTGGCTTTTTCCCCCTTCAGACTTTGGAATTTAGCAACTAGGATAGCCTTTGAAAACAGAAAAAAGCACAATAGATATTGATGGATCACTTGATAGACTGTATCCTCTAGGCCTAGAGTCTATGATTTTATGATTGATTGATGTGCTAGGTTTCTTTTTGTTTTTTCCTCATGGGTTCCCAACATCTGATTATTAAATTACACAGAGAGAGCCATTAAGCATGTTTGTAAAGCCCACATTCTTAATATCTCTGCTCCTTTTTTTTAAAAGAGACTTAATGGAAAACCTAATATAAACACCTGAACTGTGCATTCTTTCATGAGAGGAAGACATATTTCATAACTCCTTATATACTAAAAACACAATATATTGGCCAAACATGTGGAAGACACACACACACACACACACACACACACACACACACACACACACACTTTGCCTATTTTTGTATTTTATATATTTACTTTCTTATACTTTACATGTTCTGTGTAAATGAACTAGATATGTAACACATTGAGCTATGTATATATAGTAGATTGAATGTCTGTGATGTCTTAGGAACACATAGGATTGGGGATTGTGACAGGCAGCTTCTGAGATGACCTCCTAAGAATTTCCACCTCCTGATATATTTGCTTTGTGTAATTCCCTCCCGTTGAGTATGATCTAGTCTAGTGACTTGCTGTTATGTAATAAAATATAGCAAAAGTGATAGGATACCACTTCAGTGACTGGATACAAAAGACTGTAACATTTGTATTTCAAGTAGATTCTCTCAATTGACTCTATCCTTTCATGGCTTTAGTAAGGCAAGTTGCCATCTTGAGAGACTCAAGGGACAAGAAATTGAGGGCAGCTGCTGGCCAGCAGCCATCTAGAAATTGAGGACTTCAATCCAACCAGCCCTTGAAGAACTGAATTTTGCCAGCAGACACATGAATTGGGAGTGGATACTTTCCCAGCTGAGACTTACATGAGGCTGCAGCCCTGGCTGATACCTCAATTGTAGCCTCTTAAAGATTCTGATATAGAGACCCCAGATAAGTCATGCCTAGACTTAGAGAAATTGAAAATAATAATCACACCTTATTTTCTCCAATAAGTTTGTTAATTTGTTATATGGCAATAAAGGCCACATTTGTGGAATGCATGCTCAGTACTCAACAAGGGAATGGGCAGCTGATATACAGAATCTCATTTGGTTGTAACAATCATTCTGCAAAGTAAGGCTTTGGTTGAGATATAAGCATGACTGCAAATTGCACAGATGCAGAAAAAGACACTTCTGACAAGTTAGTTAGCTCAACCTGCCCAAGGTGACATGGAGCCAAGATTTTACTTTATTTTTTCTTTTATATATATATATATTTTTTATTATACTTTAAGTTCTAGGGTACATGTGCACAACATGCAGGTTTGTTACATATGTATACATGTGCCATGTTGGTGTGCTGCACTCATTAACTCATCATTTACATTAGGTGTATCTACTAATGCTATCCCTTCCCCCACCCCATAGCAGGCCCTGGTGTGTGATGTTCCCCTTCCTGTGTCCAAGTGTGCTCACTGTTCAATTCCCACCTATGAGTGAGAACATGCAGTGTTTGTTTTTTCGTCCTTCGATAGTTTGCTGAGAACGATGGTTTCAAGCTTCATCCACGTCCCTACAAAAGACATGAACTCATCATTTTTTTAATATAAAATATAAAATTTTTATATATATATTTTTTATTATACTTTTAAGTTTTAGGGTACATGTGCACATTGTGCAGGTTAGTTACATGTGTGTACATGTGCCATGCTGGTGCGCTGCACCCACTAACTCGTCATCTAGCATTAGGTATATCTCCCGATGCTATCCCTCCCCCCTGCCACCACCCCACAACAGTCCCCAGAGTGTGATATTCCCCTTCCTGTGTCCATGTGATCTCACTGTTCAGTTCCCACCTATGAGTGAGAATATGCGGTGTTTGGTTTTTTGTTCTTGTGATACTTTAGTTTACTGAGAATGATGATTTCCAATTTCATCCATGTCCCTACAAAGGACATGAACTCATCATTTTTTATGGCTGCATAGTATTCCATGGTGTATATGTGCCACATTTTCTTAATCCAGTCTATCGTTGTTGGACATTTGGGTTGGTTCCAAGTCTTTGCTATTGTGAATAATGCCACAATAAACACACGGGTGCATGTGTCTTTACAGCAGCATGATTTATAGTCATTTGGGTATATACCCAGTAATGGGATGGCTGGGTCAAATGGTATTTCCAGTTCTAGATCCCTGAGGAATCGCCACACTGACTTCCACAATGGTTGAACTAGTTTACAGTCCCACCAACAGTGTAAAAGTGTTCCTATTTCTCCACATCCTCTCCAGCACCTGTTGTTTCCTGACTTTTTAATGATTGCCATTCTAACTGGTGTGAGATGATATCTCATTGTGGTTTTGATTTGCATTTCTCTGATGGCCAGTGATGATGAGCATTTTTTCATGTGTTTTTTGGCTGCATAAATGTCTTCTTTGGAGAAGTGTCTGTTCATGTCCTTCGCCCACTTTTTGATGGGGTTGTTTGGTTTTTTCTTGTAAATTTGTTTGAGTTCATTGTAGATTCTGGATATTAGCCCTTTGTCAGATGAGTAGGTTGTGAAAATTTTCTCCCATTTTGTAGGTTGCCTGTTCACTCTGATGGTAGTTTCTTTTGCTGTGCAGAAGCTCTTTAGTTTAATTAGATCCCATTTGTCAATTTTGGCTTTGGTTGCCATTGCTTTTGGTGTTTTAGACATGAAGTCCTTGCCCATGCCTATGTCCTGAATGGTAATGCCTAGGTTTTCTTCTAGGGTTTTTATGGTTTTAGGTCTAACGTTTAAGTCTTTAATCCATCTTCAATTGATTTTTGTATAAGGTGTAAGGAAGGGATCCAGTTTCAGCTTTCTACATATGGCTAGCCAGTTTTCCCAGCACCATTTATTAAATAGGGAATGCTTTCCCCATTGCTTGTTTTTCTCAGGTTTGTCAAAGATCAGATAGTTGTAGATATGCAGCGTTATTTCTGAGGGCTCTGTTCTGTTCCATTGATCTATATCTCTGTTTTGGTACCAGTACCATGCTGTTTTGGTTACTGTAGCCTTGTAGTATAGTTTGAAGTCAGGTAGCGTGATGCCTCCAGCTTTGTTCTTTTGGCTTAGGATTGACTTGGCGATGCGGGCTCTTTTTTGGTTCCATATGAACTTTAAAGTAGTTTTTTCCAATTCTGTGAAGAAAGTCATTGGTAGCTTGATGGGGATGGCATTGAATCTGTAAATTACCTTGGGCAGTATGGCCACTTTCACGATATTGATTCTTCCTACCCATGAGCATGGCATGTTCTTCCATTTGTTTGTATCCTCTTTTATTTCCTTGAGCAGTGGTTTGTAGTTCTCCTTGAAGAGGTCCTTCACATCCCTTGTAAGTTGGATTCCTAGGTATTTTATTCTCTTTGAAGCAATTGTGAATGGGAGTTCACTCATGATTTGGCTCTCTGTTTGTCTGTTGTTGGTGTATAAGAATGCTTGTGATTTTTGTACATTGATTTTGTATCCTGAGACTTTGCTGAAGTTGCTTATCAGCTTAAGGAGATTTTGGGCTGAGACAATGGGGTTTTCTAGATATACAATCATGTCATCTGCAAACAGGGACAATTTGACTTCCTCTTTTCCTAATTGAATACCCTTTATTTCCTTCTCCTGCCTCATTGCCCTGGCCAGAACTTCCAACACTATGTTGAATAGGAGTGGTGAGAGAGGGCATCCCTGTCTTGTGCCAGAACTCATCATTTTTATGGCTGCAAAGTATTGCATGGTGTATATGTGCCATATTTTCTTAATCCAGTCTATCATTGTTGGACATTTGGCTTGGATCCAAGTCTTCGCTATTGTGAGTAGTGCCACAATAAATATGTGTGCATGTGTCTTTATAGTAGCATGATTTGTATTCCTTTGAGTATATAACCAGTAATGGGATGGCTGGGACAAATGGTATTTCTAGTTCTAGATCCTTGAGGAATCGCCACACTGACTTCCACAATGGTTGAACTAGTTTACAGTCCCACCAACAGTGTAAAAGTGTTCCTATTTCTCCACATCCTCTCCAGCACCTGTTGTTTCCTGACTTTTTAATGATCGCCATTCTAACTGGTGGGAGATGATATCTCATTGTGATTTTGATTTGCATTTCTCTGATGGCCAGTGATGATAAGCATTTTTTCATGTGTCTGTTGGTGGCATAAATGTCGTCTTTTGAGAAGTGTCTGTTCATATCCTTGGCCCACTTTTTGATGGGGTTGTTTTTTTCTTGTAAATTTGTTTGAGTTCTTTGTAGATTCTGGATGTATTAGCCCTTTGTCAGATGACTAGGTTGCAAAAATTTTCTCCCATTCTGTAGGTTGCCTGTTCATGCTGATGGTAGTTTCTTTTGCTGTGCAGAAGCTCTTTAGTTTAATTAGATCCCATTTGTCAATTTTGGCTTTGGTTGCCATTGCTTTTGGTGTTTTAGGCATGAAGTCCTTGCCCATGCCTATGTCCTCAATGGTATTGCCTAGGTTTTCTTCTAGGGTTTTTATGGTTTTAGGTCTAACATTTAAGTCTTTAATCCATCTTGAATTAATTTTTGTATAAGGTATAAGGAAGGGATCCAGTTTCAGCTTTCTACAGATGGCTAGCCAGTTTTCCCAGCACCATTTATTAAATAGGGAATCCTTCCCCATTTCTTGTTTTTGTCAGGTTTGTCAAAGATCAGATAGTTGTAGATGTGTGGTATTATTTCTGAGGGCTCTGTTCTGTTCCATTGTTCTATATCTCTGTTTTGGTACCAGTACCATGCTGTTTTGGTTACTGTAGCCTTGTAGTATAGTTTGAAGTCAGGTAGTGTGATGCCTCCAGCTTTGTTCTTTGGGCTTAGGATTGACTTGGCAATGTGGGCTCTTTTTTGGTTCCATATGAACTTTAAAGTCGTTTTTTCCAATTCTGTGAAGAAAGTCTTTGGTAGCTTGATGGGGATGGCACTGAATCTATAAATTACCTTGGGCAGTATGGCCATTTTCACGATATTGATTCTTCCTATCCATGAGCTTGGAATGTTCTTCCATTTGTTTGTGTCCTCCTTTATTTTGTTGAGCAGTGGTTTGTAGTTCTCCTTGAAGAGGTCCTTCACATCCCTTGGAAGTTGGATTCCTAGGTATTTTATTCTCTTTGAAGCATTTGTGAATGAGAGTTCACTCATGATTTGGCTCTCTGTTTGTCTGTTATTGGTGTATAAGAATGCTTGTGATTTTTGCACATTGATTTTATATCCTGAGACTTTGCTGAAGTTGCTTATCAGCTTAAGAAGATTTTGGGCTGAGACAATGGGGTTTTCTAGATATACAATCATGTCATCTGCAAACAGGGACAATTTGACTTCCTCTTTTCCTAATTAATACCCTTTATTTCTTTCCCCTGACTGATTGCCCTGGGCAGAACTTCCAACACTATGTTGAATAGGAGTGATAAGAGAGGGCATCCCTGTCTTGTGCCAGTTTTCAAAGGGAATGCTTCCAGTTTTTGCCCATTCAGTATGATATTGGCTGTGGGTTTGTCATAAATAGCTCTTATTATTTTCAGATACGTCCCTTCAATACCTAATTTATTGAGAGTTTTTAGTATGAAGGGCTGTTGAATTTTGTCAAAGGCCTTTTCTGCATCTATTGAGGTAATTCTGTGGCTTTTGTCTTTGGTTCTGTTTATATGCTGGATTATGTTTCTTGATTTGCGTATGTTGAACCAGTCTTGCATCCCAGGGATGAAGCCCACTTGATCATGGTGGATAAGGTTTTTGATGTGCTGCTGGATTTGGTTTGCCAGTATTTTATTGAGGATTTTTGCATCAATGTTCATCGGGATATTGGTCTAAAATTCTCTTTTTTTGTTGTGTCTCTGCCAGGCTTTGGTATCGTGATGATGCTGTCCTCACAAAATGAGTTAGGGAGAATTCCCTCTTTTTCTATTAATTGGAATAGTTTCAGAAGGAATGGTACCCGCTCCTCCTTGTACCTCTAGTAGAATTCAGCTGTGAATCCATCTGGTCCTGGACTTTTTTTGGTTGGTAAGCTATTAATTATTGACTCAATTTCAGTGCCTGTTATTGGTCTATTCAGAGATTCAACTTCTTCCTGGTTTAGTCTTGGGAGGGTGTATGTGTCAAGGAATTTATCCATTTCTTCTAGATTTTCAAGTTTATTTGCATAGAGATGTTTATAGTATTCTCTGATGGTAGTTTGTATTTCTGTGGGATCGGTGGTGATATCCGCTTTATCATTTTTTATTGCATCTATTTGATTATTCTCTATTAGTCTTGCTAGTGGTCTATCAATTTGTTGATCTTTTCAAAAAACCAGCTCCTGGATTCATTGATTTTTTTGAAGGGTTTTTTGTGTCTCTATCTCCTTCAGTTCTGCTCTGATCTTAGTTATTTCTTGCCTTCTGCTAGCTTTTGAATGTGTTTGCTCTTGATTCTCTAGTTCTTTCAATTGTGATGTTAGGGTATCAATTTTAGATCTTTCCTGCTTTCTCTTGTGGGCATTTAGTGCCATAAATTTCCCTCTACACACTGCTTTAAATATGTCCCAGAGATTCTGGTATGTTGTGTCTTTGTTCTCACTGGTTTCAAAGAACATCTTTATTTCTGCCTTCATTTCGTTATATACCCAGTAGTCATTCAGGAGCAGGTTGTTCAGTTTCCATGTAGCTGAGTGGTTTTGACAGTGGGGTGTTAGACTCCCACACAATTATAGTGGGAGAGTTTAAGTCTCTTTCTCAGTCTCTAAGGACTTTCTTTATGAATCTGCGTTCTCCTGTAGTGGGTGCATATATATTTAGGATAGTTAGCTCTTCTTGTTGAATTGATCCCTTTACCATTATGTAATGGCCTTCCTTGTCTCTTTTGATCTTTATTGGTTTAAAGTCTGTTTTATCAGAGACTAAGATTATAACCCCTGCCTTTTTTTGTTTTCCATTTGCTTGGTAGATCTTCCTCCATCCCTTTATTTTGAGCCTATTTATGTCTCTGCACGTGAGATGGGTCTCCTGAATACAGCACACTGATGGGTCTTGACTCTTTATCCAATTTGCCAGTCTGTGTCTTTCAATTGGAGCATTTAGCCCATTTACATTTAAGGTTAATATTGTTATCTGTGAATTTGATCCTGTCATTATGATGTTAGCTGGTTATTTTACTCATTAATTGATGCAGTTTCTTCCTAGCATTGATGGTCTTTCTTTACAATTTGGCATGATTTTGCAGTGGCTGGTTCCGGTTGTTCCTTTCCACATTTAGTGCTTCCTTCAGGAGCTCTTGTAGGGCAGGAGTGTTGGTGACAAAATCTCTCATTTGCTTGTCTGTACAGTATTTTATTTCTCCTTTACTTATGAAGCTTAGTTTGGCTGGATATGAAATTCTGGGTTGAAAATTATTTTGTTTAAGAATGTTGAATATTGGCCCCCACTCTGTTCTGGCTTGTAGAGTTTCTGCCAAGAGATCCACTGTTAGTCTGATGGGCTTCCCTTTGTGGGTAATCTGACCTTTCTCTCTGGCTGCCCTTAACATTTTTTCCTTCATTTCAACTTTGGTGAATCTGACAATTATGTGTCTTGGAGTTGCTCTTCTCGAGGAATATCTTTGTGGCTTTCTCTGTCTTTCCTGAATTTGAATGTTGGCCTGCCTTGCTAGATTGGGGAAGTTCTCCTGGATAATATCCTGCAGAGTGTTTTCCAACTTGGTTTCATTCTCCCTGTCACTTTCAGGTACACCAATCAGATGTAGATTTGGTCTTTTCACATAGTCCCATATTTCTTGGAGGCTTTGTTCTTTTCTTTTTATTCTTTTTTCTCTAAACTTCTCTTCTCACTTCGTTTCATTCATTTGATCTTCAATCACTGATACCCTTTCTTCCAGTTGATCGAATTGGCTACTGAACCTTGTGCATTCGTCACATAGTTCTCGTGTCATGGTTTTCAGCTCCATCAGGTCCTTTAAGGACTTCTCTGCATTAGTCAATCTGATTAGCCATTTGTCTAATCTTTTTTCAAGGTTTTTAACTTCTTTGCCATGGGTTCGAACTTCCTCCTCTAGCTCAGAGAAGTTTGATCATCTGAAGCCTTCTTTTCTCTACTTGTCAAAGTCATTCTCTCTCTGTCCAGCTTTGTTTCGTTGCTGGTGAGGAGGTGCATTCCTTTGGAAGAGGAGAGGTGCTCTGATTTTTAGAATTTTCAGTTTTTCTGCTCTGTTTTTTCCCCATCTTTGTGGTTTTATCTACCTTTGGTCTTTGATGATAGTGACATACAGATGGGGTTTTGGTGTGGATATCTTTTCTGTTGGTTAGTTTTCCTTTTAACACTCAGGACCCTCAGCTGCAGGTCTGTTGGAGTTTGCTGGAGGTCCACTCCAGACCCTGTTTGCCTGGATATTAGCAGCAGAGGCTGCAGAACAGCAAATATTGCTGAACAGCAAAAGTTGCTGTCTGATCTTTCCTCTGGAGGTTTTGTCTCAGAAGAGTACCCAGCCGTTTGAGGTATCAGTCTGCCCCTACTGTTGGGTGCCTGCCAGTTAGGCTACTCAGGGGTCAGGGACCCACTTGAGGAGGCAGTCTGTCTGTTCTTAGATCTCCAGCTGCATGCTGGGAGAACCACTACTCTTCAAAGCTGTCAGACAGGGACATTTAAATCTGCAGAGGTTTCTGCTGCCTTTTGTTTAGCTATGCCCTGCCCCCAGAGGTGGAGTCTACAGAGGCAGGCAGGCCTTCTTGAGCTGTGGTGGACTCCACTCAGTTCAAGCTTCCCTGCCGCTTTGTTTACCTACTCAAGCCTCAGCAATGGTGGGTGCCCCTCCCCGAGCCTCGCTGCTGCCTTGCAGTTTGACCTCAGACTGCTGTGCTAGCCATGAGTGAGGCTCCGTGGGCATGGTACCCTCCGAGCCAGGCACGGGGTATAATCTCCTGGTGTGCTGTTTGCTAAGATTATTGGAAAAGTGCAGTATTAGGGTGAGAGTGACCTGATTTTCCAGGTGTCATCTGTCACAGCTTTGCTTGGCTATGAAAGGGAATTCCCTGACCCCTTGCACTTCCCGGGTGAGGCAATGCCTCACCCTGCTTTGGCTCATGCTTTGTGCACTGCACCCACTGTCCAACAAGCCCCAGTGAGATGAACCCAGTACTTCAGTTGGAAATGCAGAAATCACCCGTCTTCTGCGTCACTCACTCTGGGAGCTGTAGACTGGAGCTGTTGCTATTCAGCCATCTTGGAACCCCTTGGAGCCAAGATTTTAAACCTGGACTACAGCCTGAGAAGAATGGAATGAGAGAAAAGTAAAGGATCTGACATGGGTCCTGTTTCATGGGTGAGGAGTGAGACAGGGGGTTGAGCTTTAAGTAGGATGGGTTTTGCTATCCCCAAAACATAGCAGAAAGTAAAACAAAGCAGGGAAAAACTAAGTCATGCTCTATCTGAATAATACTCCAGAGAAGGTACAAAATTAGTTTAAATTCTCTTGTATTGGGTAAAAATCAAGTGAAGTTATAGAAAGGGTTCAAAAAAGAATCACAGAAATTATGCCTTTTTAACAAAGCCACTGAAGAAAAATTGTTTGGTATTCATTTGAAATATACAGTACATTTTTTCCAGGAAAGAAATGTTTTGCATCAAGACCAGGTTCTTACGCTAGCTGTATATATATATAACCATAATGCAGCTGAAATACTACAGGTTTGTAATGAAACTAACAGAATACTGGACTCTTAAAATGATCCATATTAGATACAGCAGCAAAATAAACCCCACTAAGATAGAAAAATACATTGCTTTTAGCTAAACTATTTCCTCAAGAAAATCAATTTTAATAGAAAATTTGCAGGTACTCTGGACTTTGGTAGGAACTTTAAAATTGATATCACCAGTTCAATATTGGTATTTCTGATTTCTTTACAAAACAACATACTTTTTCTTGATACAAATATATTGCTAGCATTAGTCTTGTTCATAATAGACATGAATAAGAACACAGACAGGATGAGGTGTTTTAGTTGAGAGATAACTATATAAGAAGTTGGGAGGGAAAATATAAAGGATAAAGGAATTAAGAAAATAACTGGGCAACAAAAAGATATAAAATGTTTGCTGGTGGAAGAATCAGCTCAGTTAGATATGTAAGTGAATCCATCACAGGAGCAAATGGGAATGCTGACTCTACAGATTACCTCTGTGTATGCTTAGTCAATTCCTGGGCCTCAGATTTCTCATCTTAAAGCTGGCTCTACAATGCTTGTTTCTATATTAAATAGCCTAATGTATATGGCAATTCCTTGTAACAACCTGCCATGATAGTGGACTCCGAATGATATTTGTTGAATCTGAAACTGAATCTCTGCAGCCTTTATAAGGAGAAATAATGGAAGTCATAAAGAAGAAAATTTGGATTATTCATTGCTGAAGATAGATTTTTCTGGTGAGTGAAGGAGGGAAGGTGTGATGGTTAGTTTTAGGTGTCAACTTGACTGGATTAAGAAATATGCAGATAGCTGGTAAGGCATTATTTCTAAGCACGTCTGTGGGAGTGCTTCCAGAAGAGATTGGCATTTGAATTAGTAGACTGGGTAAGGAAGATCTGCTTCCACCTGATATTGATTGGCTCTCTCCCCACCCGGATCTCATCTAGAATTCCCATGTGTTGTGGGAGGGACCCAGTGGGAGGTGATTGAATCATGGGGGCAGGTCTTTCCCACGCTGTTCTCATGACAGTTAATATGTCTTATGAGACCTGATGGTTTTATAAGAAGGAGTTTCCCTGCACAAGCTCTCTTTAATTGCCAGCATCCATGTAAGACATGACTTGCTCCTCCTTGCCTTCCGCCATGATTGTGAGGTCTCCCCAGCCATGTGGAACTGTAAATCCATTAAACCTCTTTTTCTTTCCAGTCTCAGGGTATGACTTTATCAGCAGTATGAAAAGGGACTAATATAGTAAATTGGTACCAGTAGAGTGGGGCACTGCTGTAGATACCTGATATTTGGAAGCAAATTTGGAACTTGGTAACAGGCAGGGGTTGGAACAGTTTGAAGGGCTCAGAAGAGGACAGGAAAATGTGGAAAAGTTTGAAACCCCCTGGAGACTTGTTGAATGGCTTTGACCAAAATGATATGGACAATGAAATCCAGGCTGAAGTGATCTCAGATGGAGAGGAGGAACTTGTTGGGAACTGGAGCAAAGGTGACTCTTGTTATGTTTTAGCTAAGAGATTGATGGCACTTTGCCCCTGCCCTAGAGATTTGTGGAACACTGAACTTCAGAGAGATGATTTAGGGTATCTGGCAGAAGAAATTTCTAAGTAGCAAAGCATTCAAGAGATTACTTGGGTGCTGTTAAAAGCATTCAGTTTTAAAAGGGAAACAGAGCATAAAAGTTTGGAAAATTTGCAGCCTGACAATGCGATAGAAAATAAAATCCTATTTTCTGAGGAAAAATTCAAGCTGGCTATAGAAATTTGCATAAGTAACAAGGAGCTGAATATTAATCACCAAGACAATGGGGGAAAATGTCTCCAGGGCATATCAGAGACCTCTGCAGCAGCCCCTCCCATCACAGGTGCAGAGGTAGTTTAGGAGGAAAAAATGGTTTCATGGGCTCAGTACAGGGTCCCTATGCTATGTGCAGTCTTGGGACTTGGTGCCCTGCATTGCACCTACTCCAGCCATGACTAAAAGGGGCCAATGTACAGCTCGGGCTATTTCTTCAGAGGGTGAAAGCCCCAAGCCTTGGCAGCTTTCACATGGTGTTGAGCCTGTGAGTACACAGAAGTCAAGAATTGAGGTTTGGGATCCTCTGCCTAGATTTCAAATAATGTACAGAAATGCCTGGATGCCCAGGCAGAAGTTTGCTGCAGGAGCAGGGCCTCATGGAGAACCTCTGCTAGGGCAGTGTGGAAGAGAAATGTTGGATTGGAGCCCCCACACAGAGTCCCCACTGGGGCACTGCCCAGTGGAACTGTGAGAAGAGGCCCACTGGCCTCCAGCCCCCAGAACGATAAATCCACTGACAGCTTGCACTATGCACCTGGAAAAGCCACAGACACTCAATGCCAGCCCACAAAAGCAGCTGGGAGGGAGGCTCTACCCTGTGAAGCCACAGGGGCAGAGCTCCCCAAGGCCATGGGAGCCCACTTGCATCAGAGTGACCTAGATATAAGACATGGCGTCAAAGGAGATCATTTTGGAGCTTTAAGATTTGACTGCCCCACTGGATTTTGGACTTGCATGGGGCCTGTAGCCCCTTCATTTTGGCCAATTTCTCTCATTTGAAATGGCCGTATTTACCCAATGCCTACACCCCTATTTTATCAAGGAAGTAACTAACTTGCTTTTGATTTTACATGCTCATATGCAGAAGGGACTTGCCTTGTCTTGGATAAGACTTGGGACTGTGGACTATTGAGTTAATGCTGAAATGAGTTAAGATTTTGGGGGACTGTTGGGAAGGCATGATTAGTTTTGAAATGTGAGGACATGAGATTTGGGAGGGGCCAGGGGTGGAATGATATGGTTTGGCTGTCTCACCACCCAAATCTCATCATGAATTCCTATGTGTTGTGAGAGGAACCCAGTGGGAGACAATTGAATCATGGGGGCAGGTATTTACCATGCTGGTCTCATGATAGTGAATAAGTCTCATGAGACCTGATGGTTTTATAAGGAGTTTCCCTGCACAAACTCTCTTCACCTGCCGCCCTCCATGTAAGATTGACTTGCTCCTCCTTGCCTTCTGCCATAATTGTCAGGCCACCCCAGCCATGTGGAACTGTAAATCCGTTAAACCTCTCTCTTTTGTGAATGGCCCAGCCTCAGGTATGTCTTTATCAGCAGGGTGAAAATGGACTAATACACCACCCAACATGGATGAGTGCATCCAATCAGCTAAGGGCTGATGTAGAAAAAAAGGCAAAGGAAAGGTGAATTCACTCTTTCTGCTGGAGCTGGGACACTCTTCTTCTCCTGCCCTTGGACCACACAACTACAGGTTCTCTGGCCTTTGAACTTCACAACTTGCGCCATTCCCCTGCTCCCCATCCTGGATTCTCAGGCCTTCAGCCTCAGACTGAGAATTACACCATTACCTTCTCTGGTTCTGAGGCATTTAGACTTGGACTAAGCTATGCTACAGCTGCCCTGGTTCTCTAGCTTGAAAATAGCCTATCATGGGACTCCTCAACCTTCATAATGACAAGAGCAAATCCCCTAATAAATCTCCTATCTGTCATCTATCTGTCTGCCTACATACTTACCTACCCACCTACCTATCTATCTGTTCATCTATCTATCCACCCATCATATTGATTCCATCTCTGGAAAATCCTGACTAATACATCTATCTAAAGATGAAAAGATCAAACAGAGACAAAGCCTAGAAAATGTAGCAGAGTCTGGCTAAATGCTCACCAAACCCATTTTTCTCTTCTTGTTAAGTGCAGATAAACTAAATTTTGTGAACTTCTCTCATATATGAGTGAGACCATGTCAGCAGTTCTTGCCATAGATAGTGAATGAAAGTGATTTGTCACTTGCAGTTCAGTGACAGAAGTTACATAAGAACCTGCCTTGTCTTTGCACTCCCTTCTTCCCATCTGCCAGCTAGATGATGTCAGGACAACCCCTAACTGTGTATTGAAGGAGACTACCACATGGGAGGAGCCTGAGTACCTGAATGGTTGCATGGAGAAGAGGCCCACTCCCACACTATCTAAATTTGAACTAGGGAGTGAATAGAAAAGAAACCTTCACTGTGTTGATCCATTGAGAACATGAAATTGTAATAGAAGCCAGCATTATTTACAAGTAGAACATAAATGGGGGAAAAGGGGGAATATTATGTAACAACAGCTAAATTTATGTATACTTAGGAAGTGAATGTCCAGATTTAAATAAGAGATAAATTACTTGGTAATTCTGTATGTCACCAAAATATTCCCCTTGTATTCCTTTCAGTGGTCAGCTTCTACTGTCCATTTAAAAATATTGCATTTTCAGTATGTTTGTGGGTACAGTCATTATAGGAAAAAGGGATCTACCAGCATGCTACCCAAACTGACTGCACTGTAATGGATTCCCAAAGGAGGTGAGATAGCTCTCCACTGGAGAGGAGTTTATTTTGTAGTCAACAAAGTGCAAGAGTGTATTTTCTGAGATATTTGCTTAGGAGCTCAAAATTTAAACTTGCAACATTGGCTTAGCCACTTGTTTAAGATAATAAAAGTTGCACCCATTGGAGATATTATATTCAGAATGCCCATTGTGTATATTTTTCTAATTAATTGGACTTTAATTACTTTGCAGAAAATCTATAAAGAGTCATCAAAGTTTTGAAGATGAGAACAAGCTGGTACATATTCCGTTTACTTTCCATAGAGCTATCTCACCATGAAACCTAAGAAAAAAAAATAGCCAATTTAATTTTCTTCTGTTGAGGTTTATAAAAGGCCCAACAGAGGCTACTATGTCCAATTTTTAATAGAGATAACTATTTAGAAATATAAATGCTGAGAAGGAGAATAGGCTCAGGTATGCTCTGCTAAATCAAGGTGACCCTTCATGTTAGTTTCTTCTAGTACTTTTCTTTGTATATACAAATTTATACACACACACACACACACACACACACACACACACACGCTTGCATATCTGCTCATTATTCAGCCCAAGCTAGGTTAAAAAAAAAATCCAACAAGAATGTAGTAACATAAAGCTAATTCCTTGATTTTTCTCATTTCCATATTTTTGGGGGGGTACTTTCCTACATTGGAGGGTAAAATACAAAGGATTATACTTGTAAATGTTTAAGGAAATGTATTTAACCTCAATTACTGAATATATGGTTCGAATATATGGTTCAGTGGGGAAAAGGGTGAAGATACAATGTTAAGACATAATCATTTTACTAGAAGGAAATTGTTCACAGTCACCTGGTAAGAGGAACTTATGTACCACTGATGGAAACAGAATGATGGGGAATTGAGTGGTAAGGAAAGGAATACTGAGTGTGTTCTGGGCTGTATCCTGCCCTTTCCTCTATTATAGTATTGGTGTTAAATGGAGGAGGAGCCACTTTTAAATCTCACCCTAAATATGTCCAGTGTAGTCAATACGAAAAAAATTATTTTTTGGCATTTGGAGCAGTACAGCAGACTAGATAGGGAGCTAGAAGCTAAATAAAAAGTGAAACCTGAAATTAAATACCCCTCGAAATCCATCAGTTCTGTATGGCTGAGATATATCCTTACCTAGAGGGAGATGATTGCCCTTGAGGGCATCTCAAAAAATTCTTTCCAGCTCTGCACTTTGATGCTCTAAGTTTCTGAGTTGAGAGATAATTGGCTGAATATTTTGTCTTTGACTTGGAATTTCAAATCTTCAACCTTGTCCTGGATGCGGTTGCAACAATGCTTATTTTCTGACCACGGCTACTGATATCTACACTTCATAATACTGTTAAGTATTTTCTTGTAGCCTGAATTAGTTTAACATTTCTGACAATGAATTCCCAAGTAATTGCGGTGGCTTCACTCCATGATATGTCTCTCAGGGCACTCTTGGAAATTAAATGTTACTTCTTCTCAACAGTTATTTGCTTACTTCATCCTCATTTTATTAAATAATCATAAAAAACTTTCAAATTTAAATATGCCTGCTCTGTTATCTGAAAGGTCTGGCAAGACAGGAAGGCTGGATGAAACAAAGCCAGCCCTGGTCTCTTTGTTATTTTTCAGTGAATTTTCCATTGGCATTGAGTGCATCCCAAGTCTGGGGCTTTAAGGAGCTTTAAAGCTGTGTGCTCACTGGGGTCCTGGTTGATTTTCAGCAACTAAAGCTGAAATTGCTGCTGTTTAGAGGTGGCCCAAACATTCTTAACAATGTTTAAAATACCTAACCTCATTAGAGCAAAATAATAATCTATTTTTTCTTTTGTTTTTGAATAGTTTTTTTTTTTTTACAAGACTCCTAAAGATTTATTTTGGTTGAATAAATAAGTAGGAAGGGTTCCAAGACCCATGCAGGTGATCTTGTGACAATTATTAGACACTTGATCTGGGTCCAGTTGGTTACGAGGCCTTGCCTCTCATTTTAGGCATGCTGTCTTCTAGAAGACTTACATGAGGTTACCCGACTGAAGAATTTGGAGGGGAGAATATTGTCCTCATTTAAAGAAGTTCACTCAATGAGACATTAGTGACTTGTTTAAATTTAACAAAATGGAGTTAGTTATGCTGAATTCCCAGCTCAACTATTCCAGAGCAGCATGGGGTAGCAGGGAGGTCATGGGCTTTGAACATAGACACACTTGATTTGATTCCAGGAGCTACCCTTTCCTAGCTGTACATCCTTCTACATCTTAGTGATCTCTGAGTGTCAGATCTCTAAAAAGCAAAATAGAGTCCAACTTATAGGGTTAATATGAATTATCAAAAAATACCTTTAATGTACCTAAACTATAATCAATAATAATAAATGATAGACACTTATTATTTCTTGTATTAATTCCAACACATTGCTTGGTTTAAGGCTGACAGTTGTGATATGAATCATGATATAGCCCAGAAATGTTATTTAGAAAGTCTTAAGTTTTATTTCCTCCCTTGACCACCCAACATGATAGTTTCTTCATCATCACAATATATATGTCTAATGTTTTCACAAAGAAGGCTGTGTGTATTAGCTAACGCAAAAGAAAGAGAAAAATTGCATTCTTATTTCAATTTTCCCTCTCTTAATTCTATTGCGTGATCTTAGGCAAGTAAGTACAATTTTGCATTTCGTTGAGAGGAAGGGCAGAGGACTTTATCTGCTATATCTGTGTAATTATTTCCAAGACACAAGTGAGAGTGACTGCAATATTGTCCCTCAAGTACTTGGCATTCCTTAGAAGAAAACATGATGTAATTGGGCTTTAATAACTTGGATGAAAATGTATCCTAGGGCCATAAAATGTTTCTCTACAACATTAGATCTAGGCGAGTTATTATGATTACCTCTTAAGAAGTGTTCAGATTAACGGATATGTGCTTATAAAGTCCATTACAAAGGCAGAATCAGAAGGAAGAGGTACAGAAGAGTACCCGGATATTTCAATGCATTTTATTCCTGAACATTTTAAATGGAGAAGTTCTTTTATCACTTGTACTGCCAGGCTCAGTGGGGGAATACCTGAACAAGGAGGCCTGCTCTGAATACTATGTCTATCTCCCTACTTGCCCTCCATTAGAAGATTGCTTAAAGAAACTCCTTTCTGTAGCCATGCTTGATGATTAATGTTAGGTGTCGACTTCACTGAATAGAGGGCTGCCTAGATGGCTGGTGAAGCATTGTTTCTCGGCGTCTCTCTAAGGGTGTTTTAAGAGAAGATTTTTATGTGAGTTGGTGGACTGAGTGGTGAAGATTGCGCTCAATGTGAATGGACATGATTCAATCAGCTTGGGGCCCTGATGGAACAAACAGGTGGAAAAGCATCAATTCTCTCTTTCTTCAGGAAAGGGACACTCTTCTTCTCCTGCCCTTGGACATCAGAAATCCAGGTTCTTCAAGCTTTGAACTCTGAAACCTGCACCTTTAGCCTCCCAGGCCTCTCAAGTCTTTGGTCTTGGATTGAGAATTACACCACCAGCTTCTTTAGTTCTCAGGCCTTTGGACTTATTCTAAGCCCTGCTACTGGCTTCTCTGGTTCTCCAGCCTGTGATAATACTTATCAGCCTCCATAATCATGGAAGCCAATTCCCCTAATAAATCCCTTATCTTTCTGCCTGTCTGTCTGTCTATCTATCTATCTATCTAGTCTGTCTATCTATCTACCTATTTTTCTATCTGTCCTATTGGCTCCTTCTCTGGAAAACCCTGACCGAATATACTATGTGTATAGGTAAGGGCAATGATATGGAAGTCAAACCAGTTCACCCTTCCAAGCTATGTGATTCATTGCAACATTCATTCAGTAAACACTGAGTGCCTTCTGTGCTAGGAGTTATATATACAACATGATTCTTGACTTCAGTTGAAAATGGTTTAGTGGAGGGAAACAGATGTGCATAAATAAATCTATTTATCTCCTAAAGCATTTTATGGCTTATTTCCCATAGTTGATTATTCTTAGCCAATTATAGTAATTTCATCCTTCATTCCCCCACCCCACACCCCTGCTATTGATGAATTCAGGGATAGAGCTTTAAGTCTAAGCTAACTTGAAAACTAAAACATTAGGAGTAATTTTTAGACACTTATGGGAAAAATGCCCTCATGGGCTAAAGAGGTCATCTAATGCCTTTAAGGTATACTACCTTAGAATGATGTTAAATTTGCCAACTGCAGAGTAGAGCGTGGGAAGTTTACTGTGTCCTAGGTGATACACATAAGCAGCTGTTTTAAGCAATCTGAAGACTTCTTGCTCTGCCTGTGGACTTGATGTTATCTGAGCTAATAAATGACTTTATTGCTTAACCAAGTCTGAAATAAATTTTTACTTACTTGCAGCCAGAACCATCCTAGCTGAATGCTAGTTTAATTTAATGCTTTCCATATCACGTCATCATGACAGTCCCCTCCAATTCTTGTTTAAAACGCAAACTCTCAAGTAACCCTTAAGGAGAATCTGACCCACTGATCCACTAGGACTGATATAAGGCCCAGGAATTGGGATTTTTAATAACTGTCCCAGGTGATTTATGTTCAGCCATATTTCAGATCATTGTTCTGACTGCTATAATAGAGACAAGAATTAAGTGCAGGCTTAGCAATGGACTCAGCCTGGAGGAGTTAGAGATGGTCTCTCAGACAAAGGGACATTTGAGCTGTGCCTTGAAGAATGAGTGGGTGCTTGCTAGGCTGAGAAGAGGTGCAAAGATGTTCCCAACAAAGGAAGTCTCAACAAAATACTTATCTCTCTGGCCTTTATTATCTCATCTATAAACTGAGGACATTATAAAAGAAAGTCTAGGACTGGGCCAAGATGGCCAATTAAAAGCAGCTACAGTTTGCAACACTCATGGAGAGAAAAGAAAATGGCAAGTGAATTCAGCACCTTCAACTGAAATATCCAGATTCTCACATTGGGATTGACTAGGCAAACATCTCGACCCACAGAGAATGAAGAAAAGCAGGATGGGGTGATGGCCCACCTAGGAGTGGCATAGAGCCAAAGGAACCACCACCCCCAGCCAAGGGAAGTGGTGAGTGATTGTGTGATTCCACCTGGGAAATCATGCTTCTCCCACAGATCTTTGCAACCAGCAGATCAGGGATCCCCTTCTAAGCCCATACCACCAAGGCCTTGGGTCTGATACAGAGAGCTGTGTGAAGTCCCTGCAGAGCAGCCACTGGGGCACACACAGAGACCCAGGAGTTTTGCATACTGTGGCCCCAGGATTTCTGACAAGGTAAGAGATCTGTCCCTACATCCCCTAAGAGGGGAGCTAAATCCAGGGAGCTGAGCAGCATCATTCTGCAGGCCCCACTTCCACAATACCTCACAAGTTAAGACACACTGGCTTGGAATTCCAGCCAGCCAGTGGCAACAGGCTGGAGTCTGCCTGAGAAGGACAAAGTTCCTGGACAGAGGGGTGGCTGCCATTCTGTGTTCTGGTTGACTCAGCTTTTCCAGCCTGCCAACTCTGGAGAGTCTGGACAGTCCAGATGAGGAAGGGTCCCCCACAACACAGCACAATTCTGCTACCAAAAAAAACCAGACTGCTTCTTGGAGCAGGTCCCTGATACCATTCTTCCAGATTGGATGAGACTTCTCAACAGAGGTCTCCAGCTACCTCCTTTAGATACAATTTGGGCTGGCAACATGTCCGTACTTCCCTGGGACTGAGCTTCTCAAGGAAGAAGCAGGCTGCAATCTTTGCTGTTTTGCAGCCTTCACTGATTGATAATACTTCAAGGTACATGAAAAACCAAGGCAACTAGGGTCCATAGTGGACCCCTAGAAAATGGCAGCAGTCCTACAGAAGAATAGCTTGACTGTTAAAAGTAAAACAGACAAACAGAAAACAACAAAAACAACATCAGCAAAAAGATCCCACAAAAACTCCTTTCCAGGGTCAGCAGCCTCAAAGATGGAAGGTAGTTAACCCCACAAAGATGAGAAAGAATCAACACAAAAACCCTGAAAACCCAAAAAGCCAGAGTGCCTTATATCCTCCAAATTATTGCAGCATCTCTCCAGGAAGGGCACAGAACAGGGCTGAGGCTGAGATGGCTAAATTGACAGAAGTAGGCTTCAGAAGGTGGATAATAATAAACTTTGCTGAGCTAAAGGAGCATGTTGTAACCCAATGCAGAGAAGCTATAATCATCATAAAACAATACAAAAGCTGATAGCCAGGACAGCCAGTTTCGAGATGAACATAACCAACCTAAAGGAGCTGAGAAACATAACACGAGAAATTTACAATGCAATCACAAGTATCAATAGCAGAATCTCAGAGCTTGAAGAATATCTTTCTAAAATAGGCAGATAAGAATAGAGAAAAATAATGAAAAGGAATGAACAAAACCTCCAAGAAATATGGGATCATGTAAAGACACTGTGCCTACAATGGATTGGGGTACCTGAAAGAGATGAGAATGGAACCAAGTTGGAAAACATACTTCAGGATATCGTTCAGAACTTCTTCAACCTAGTAAGACAGGCCAACATTCAAATTCTGGACCTGCAGAGAATCCCATTAAGATGCTCCCCCAGAAGATCAACCCCAAGAAACATAATCATCGGATTCTCTAAGGTCAAAATGAAAGAAAAATTATTAAATGCATCCAGAGAAAGGCCAGGTCACCTACAAAGGGAAGCCCATCAGACTAACAATGGACATCTCAGAAGAAATCCTACAAGCCAGAAGATATTGGGGGCCAATATTCAACATTCTTAAAAAAAATTTCCAACCCAGAAATTTATGTCTGGCCAAACTAAGCTTCATAAGAAAAGGAGATATAAGATCTTCTTTGGACAAGCAAATGCTGGAGGAATTCATTACCACCAGACCTGCCTTGCAAGAGCTCCTGAAGGAAGCACTAAATATGGAAAGGAAAAACTGTTACCAAAAGTATTTTTTTACAAAAGCACACTGAAGTACACAGAACAGTGACACTATGAAGCAACCAACCACATAAACAAGTCTGCAAAATAACTAGCTAGCCTCATGATGACAGGATCAAACTCACATATAACAATACAAAGCTTAAATGTTAATAGGCAAAATGCCCCAATGAAAAGGCACAGAATCTCAAGCTGGATAATGAGTGAAGAAGACCCATTGGTATGTTGTCTTCAAGATATTCATCTCACATGCAAAGAAACACATAGTCTCAAAATAAAGGAATGGAGGAAAATTTACCAAATGGAAAACAGAGAAAAGCAGGGATTGCAATCCTTGTTTCTGACAAAAGAGACTTTAAACCAACAAAGATAAAAAAAAAGACAAAGAAGGGCATTACATAATGGTAAAGGGTTCAATTCAACAAGAACTAGCTATCCTAAATATATATGCACTCAATACATGAGCACCCAAGTTCATAAAGCAAGTTTTTAGAGACCTACAAAAAGACTTAGACTAACACACAAAAATAGTGGGTGACTTCAACACTCCATGGACGTTATTAGACATATCATCAAGGAAGAAAATTAGCAAAGATACTCAGAACCTGAACTCGGCTCTGGATCAAGTGGACCTGACAGATATCTATAGAACTCTCCACCCAAAACAACAGAATATATATTCTTCTCATCACTACACAGCACTTCCTCTAAAATTTATAAATAATTGGAAGTAAAACACTCCTCAGCAAAAGCAATGTTATAACTGAAGTTATAACAAACAGTCTGTTAGACCACAGTGCAATCAAATTAGAATGCAAGATTAAGAAATTCACTTAAAACTATATAACTACATGGAAATTGAACAACCTGCTCCGGAATGATTCTTGGGTAAACAATCAACTTAAGGCAGAAATCAAGAAGTTCTTTGAAACTAATAAAAACAAAGAGCCAATGTACCAGAATCTGTGGGATGCAGCTAAAGCAATTCTAAGAGGGAAATTTATAGCACTAAATGCCCACATTAAAAAACTAGAAAAGTCTCAAGTTAACAACCTAACATCACAACTAAAAGAACAAGAGGACCAAGAGCAAACAAATCCAAAACATTGCAAAAGACAATAAATAACCAAGATTAGAGGTGAACTGAAGGAGATAGAAACCCCCCAAAATTCAAAAATCAACAAATCCAGGAGCCTGTTTTTTGAAAAAAATAATAAAATAGATATACCACTAGTTAGACTAATAAAGAAGAAAGAAGAATCAAAGAAACAAGTCAGAAATGATGAGGATATCACCACTGACCCCACAGAAATATAAACAACCATCACAGAATACTATAAACTCCTCTATGCACATAAACTAGAAAATCTAGATAAAATGAATAAATTCCTGGACATATGCACCCACCCAAGACTGAACCAGGAAAAAAATTGAATCCCTGAAGAGACCAATAATAAGTTCTGATATTGAGGCAGTAATAGATAGCCTACCAATCAAAAAAAGCCCAGGACCAGAAGAATTTACAGCTGAATTCTACCAGAGGTACAAACAAGAGCTGGTACAATTTACACTGAATGTCATTGATCACATAAACAGAACTAAAGACAAAAATCACATGATTGTCTCATTAGATGCAGACAAGGCCTTCAATAAAATTCAACATCCTGTCATGTTAAAAACTCTCAATAAACTAGGAACTGAAGGAACATACCTTAAAATAATAAAAGCCATATATAACCAACCCACAGCCAATATCACACTGAATAGGCAAAAGCTGAAAGCATTCCCCTTGAAAACTAGCACCAGAAAAGGGTGTCCTCTCTTACCACTCCTATTCAACACAGTATTGGATGTTCTGGCCAGGGCAATCAGGCAAGAGAAAGAAATAAAGGGTATTTAAATAAGAAGAGAGGAAATCAAATTATTTTTGTGGATATCATGATCCTATATCTAGAAAACTCCATTATCTCCACCCAAAAGCTTCTTAAGCTAATAAGCAACTTCAGCAAAGTCTCAGGATACAAAATAAACATGCAAAAATTGCTAGCATTCCTATGCACTAAAAACAGGCAAGCAGAGAGTCAAATCATGAATGAATTCTCATTCACAATTGCTACAAAAAGGATAAAATACTGAGGAATACAGCTAACAAGGGATGTGCAGGACTTCTTTAAGGAGAACTACAAACCACTGCTTGAAGAAATCAGAGAGGACATAAATAAACAGAAAAACATTCCATGCTCATGGATAAGACTCAATATTGTGAAAATGGCCATATTGCCCAAAGTAATTTATAGATTCAATGCTATTCCCATTCAACTACCATTGACATTCTTTACAGAATTAATTAGAAAAAAAAATTTAAAAATTCATATGAAACCAAAAAAGAGCCCATATAGCCAAGATGATCCTAAGCAAAAAGAGCAAAGCTGGAGGCATCACACTACCTGGCTTCAAACTATGCTACAAACCAAACAGTAACCAAAACAGCATGGTACTGGTAAAAGAACAGACACATAGACCAGTGGAACAGAGTAGAGAACTCAGAAATAAGACCTACAACCATCTGATCTTTGACAAACCCGACAAATCCAGCAATGGGGAAAGGATTCCCTATTTAATAAATGGTGGTGGAAGAACTGGCAGCCATATGCAGAAAATTAAAACTGGACCTCTTCCTTACACGATATACAAACATTAACTCAAGATGGTTTAAAGACTTACTGAAATGTAAAACCCAAAATTATAAAAACCCTGAAAGAAAATCCAGGCAATACCATTTAGGAAATAGGCATGGGCAAAGATTTCATGACAAAAGCACAAAAGCAATTGCAACAGAAGCAAAAATTGACATATGGAATCTAATTAAACTAAAGAGCTTCTGCACAGCAAATGCAACTCTCATCAGAGTGAACAGACAACCTACAAAATAGGAGAAAATTTTTGCAATCTATCCATGTGACAAAGGCCTAATATCCAGAGTCTATAAGGAACTTAAGCAAATTTACCAGAAAAAAACATACAACCCCATTAAAACGTGAGCAAAGCACATGAACAGACACTTCTCAAAAGAAGACATGTGTTTTCAACTCCTAGGGAATCATGGCAGATGGGAGGCAGGACTAGACTGCAGCTCTAACTCAGACAGAGCAGCATGTGGAGGCTTGCATTATGAATTTCTGCTCCAGAACAACTGCAGGAATAAATCAGGAAACCTGAAAGGACCCACAGACCCCTGAAGGAAGCGGATTGCTCCTGCAGGACCCAGGAGACATGCCAAATACTCTGCTGGTATTCACGGCTGACAGACCTACAGATGTTTCACATCACAGGACTCTGCAGAAAATCCCCAGTACTGGCCCAGAGCCTGGTAGACTTGCTGGGTGGCTAGATCCAGAAGAAAGATAACAATCACTACAGCTATTCTCTCAGGAAGCCACATCCATAGGAAAAGGGGGAGAGTACTACCTCAAGGGAACACACTGTGGGACAAAAGAATCTGAATGGGACAAAAAGAATCTGAACAACAGCCTTCAGCCCTACACCTTCCCTCTGACAGAGTCTACCCAAATGAGAAGGAACCAGAAAACCAACTCTGGTAATATGACAAAACAAGGTTATTTAACACCCCCCAAAAATCACACTAGCTCACCAGCAATGGACCTAAACCAAGAAGAACTCCCTGATTTACCTGAAAAAGAATTCAGGATGTTAGTTATTAAGCTAATCAGAGACGTCTTTGAATTAACCCAATCCAACGAAGACAAAGAAAAAAGAGTAAGAAAATATGAATAAAGCCTCCAAGAAGTCTGAGATTATATTAAATGACCAAACTTAAGAATAATTGGTGCTCCAGAGGAAGAAGAGATATCTAAAAGTTTGGAAAATATATTTGGGGGAATAATTGAAGAAAACTTCCCTGGCCTTGCTAGAGACCTAGACATCCAAATACAAGAAGCTCAAGGAACACCTGGGAAATTCATCACAAAAAGATCATCGCCTAGGCACATTGTCATCGGGTTATATAAGTTAAGACGGAAGAAAGAATCTTAAGAGCTGTGAGACAAAAGTACCAGGTAACCTATTAAAATAAAGAAACCTATCAGATTAACAGCAGATTTCTCAGCAGAAACCGTACAAGCTAGAAGGGATTGGGGCCCTATTTTCAGCTTCCTCAAACAAAACAACTATCAGCCAAGAATTCTGTATCCATTGAAACTAGGCTTCATATATGAAGGAAAGATACAGTCTTTTTCAGGCAAACAAATGCTGAGAGAATTTACCACTACCATGCCACCACTACAAGAACTGCTTTTCAAAAAGTGCTCTAAATTTTGAAACAAATCCTGGAAACAACATCAAAACAAAACCACTTTAAAGCATAAATCTCACAGGACCTATAAAATAAAAATACCATTTAAAAAATGAAGTCAAAAAAACCAAGGTACACAGGCAACAAATAGCATGATGAATGGAATGGTACCTCACATTTCAATATTAACATTGAAGGTAAATTACCTAAATGTTCTACTTAAAGATACAGAATTGCAGAATGAATAAGAATTCACCAATGAACTATCTGCTGCCCTCAAGATACTCATTTAACACGTAAGGACTCACACAAACTTAAGTGAAAGGGGTGAAAAAAGAGACATCATGCAAACGGACAGCAAAAGTGAGCAGGAGTAGCTATAGTTATGTAAGAAAAAACAAACTTTAAAGCAGCAGTAGTTGAAAAAGACAAAGAAGGACATTATATAATGATAAAAGGCCTTGTCCAACAGGAAAATATCTCAATCCTGAATGTATATGCACCTAACACTGGAGCTCCCAAATTTATAAAACAATTACTAATAGACCTAAGAAATGAGATAGACAGCAACACAATAATAGTGGGGGACTTTTTAATACACCACTGACATCACTAGACAGGTCATCAAGACAGAAATTCAACAAAGAAACAATGGATTTAATCTATACCCTAGAACGAATGGACTTAACAGATATATACAGAACATTCCATCCAACAACTGCAGAATATACATTGTATTAAACAGCACATGGAACTTTCTTCAAGAAAGACCATATGATAGACCACAAAATGAGCTTCAATAAATTTAAGAAAATTGAAATTATATCAAGCACTCTCTCAGACCACAATGGAATAAAACTGGAAATCAACTCCAAAAGGAAACTTCAAAGCCATGCAAATACATGGATATTAAATAACCTGCTTCTGAATGATCATTGGGTCAAAAATTAAACCAAAATGAAAATTAAAAAATTCTTTGAACTGAATGACAATAGTGACACAACCTATCAAAACCTCTGAGACACAAAAGGCAGTGCTAAGAGGAAGGTTCATAGCACTAAATACCTACATCAAAAAGTCTAAAAGAGCACAAACAGACAATCTAAGTTCACACCTCAAGTAACTACCAAAACAAGAACAAACCAAACCCAAACCCAGCAGAAGAAAGGAAATAACCAATATCAGAGCAGAACTAAATGAAACTGAAACAACAACAAAAATATAAAAGATAAATGAAACAAAAATCTGGTTCTTTGAAAAGATAAATGAAACTGATAGACCATTAGCAAGATTAACCAAGAAGAGAGAAAATCCAAATAAGTTCAATAAGAAATAAAACAGGAGATATTACAACTAACACCACAGAAATAAAAAAGATCATTTAAGGCTACTATGAACATCTTTACATGCATAAATTAGAAACCTAGAAGAAATGGATAAACTCCTGGAAAGATACAACTCTCCTAGCATAACTCAGGAAAAATTAGATACCCTAAACAGACCAATAACAAGCAGCAAGATTGAAATGGTAACGTAAAAATTACCAATGAAACAAGTTCAGGACCAGACAGATTCCCAGACGTATTCACAGCAGAATTCTACCAGACATTCAAAGAAGAATTGCTACCAATCCGATTGACACTATTTCCCAAGATGGAGAAAGAGAGACCCTTCCCTAAATCATTCTATGAAGCCAGTATCACCCTAATACCAAAACCAGGATCTAGCCCAAAAAGAAAACTACAGACCAATATCCCTGATGAACATAGATGCTAAAATCCTCAACAAAATACTAGTTAACTGAATCCAACAATATATCAAAAAGAAAATTCACCATGATCAAATGGGTTTCATTCCAAGGATGCAGGGTTTAGCATAGGCAAGTCAATAAATGTGATACACCACATAAACAGAAATAAAAACAAAAACACATGATGATCTCAATAGATGCAGAAAAAGCATTTGACAAAATCCAGCATCCCTTTATGATTAAAACTCTCAGTAAAATCGACATACAAGGGACATACCTCAATATAATAAAAGCCATTTATGACAAACCCACAGCCAATATAATGCTGAATGGGGAAAAGTTGAAAGCATTCCCTCTGAGAACTGGAACAAGTCAATGATGGCCACTCTCACCACTCCTCTTCAACTTAGTACTGGACATCCTAGCCAGAGAAATTAGATAAGAGAAAGAAATAAAGGGCATCCAAATTGGTAAAGAGGGAGTCAAACTGCTGCTGTTTGCTGATGATATGATTGTTTACCTAGAAAACCCTAAAGACTCCTCCAGAAAGCTCCTAGAACTGATAAAAGAATTCAGCAAAGTTTCCAGATACAAAATTAATGTACACAAATCAGTAGCTCTTCTATACACCAACAGTTATCAAGCTGAGAATTAGATCAAGAACTCAACCCCTTTTAAAATAGCTGCAAAACAAAAACAAAAACAAAAAACATGAAAAAAACTTAGGAATATGCCTAACCAAGGAAGTGAAAGACCTCTGCAAGGAAAACTGCAAAACATTGCTGAAATAAATCATAGATGACACAAACAAATGGAAACACATCCCATGCTCATGGATGGGTAGAATCAATATTGTGAAAATAACGTTACTACCAAAAGCGATCTACAAATTCAGAGCAATACCCATCAAAATACCACCATCATTCTTCACACAATTAGAAAAAAAATTCTAAAATTCATATGGAACCAAAAAAGAGTCCAAATAGCCAAAGCAAGCAAAGCAAGACTAAGCAAAAAGAACAAACCTGGAGGCATCCCACTACCTGATTTCAAACTATACTATAAGGCCATAGTCACCAAGACAGCATGGTACTGGTATAAGAATAGGCACATAGACTAATGGAACAGAGTAGAGAACCCAGAAATGAACCCAAATACTTACAACTAACTGATCTTCAACAAAGCAAACAAAAACATAGAGTGGGGAAAGGACACCCTTTTCAACAAATGGTGCTGGGATAATTGGCTAGCCACATGTAGGAAAATGAAACTGGATCCTCATCTGTCACCTTATACAAAAATCAATTCAAGATTGATTAAGGACTTAAATATAAGACCTGAAAATTAAAATTCTAGAAGACAACATAGGAAAAACCCTTATAGACACTGGTTTAGGGAAGGATTTCATGACCAAGAACCCAAACACAAATACAATAATAACAAAGATAAATTGTTGGGACTTAGTTAAACTAAAGAGCTTTTGCACGGCAAAAGGAACAGTTAGCAGAGTAAACAGACAACCCAGAGTGGGAAAAAATTCTCACAATCTATACATCTAACAAAGGGCTAATATCCAGAATCTACAATGAACTCAAACAAATCAACAAGAAACAAACAATCCCATGAAAAAGTGGGCTAAAGACATGAATAGACAATTCTCGAAGATATACAAATGGCCAACAAATATGAAAAAATGCTCAACATGACTAATGATCAGGGAAATACAAATCAAAACCACAATACACTGCCACTTTACTCCTGCAAGAATGGCCATAATCAAAAAATCAAAAAAATAGTAGACGTTGGCATGGATGTGGTGAACAGGGAACACTTCTACACTGCTGGTGGGAATGTAAACTAGTACAATCACTATGAACAACAGTGTGGAAATTCCTTAAAGAACTAAAAGAAGAGCTATCATTTGATCCAGCAATCCCACTACTGATACCTACCCAGAGTCATTATACAAAAAAGATACTTGCACACACATGTTTATAGCAGCACAATTTGCAATTGCAAAAATGTGGACCCAACTCAAATGCCCATCAATTGATAAGTGGATAAAGAAACTGTGGTATATATACACAGTGGAATACTACTCAGCCATAAAAAGGAATGAATTATTGGCATTCGCAGCAACCTGGAGGAGACTGGGGACTATGATTTGAAGTGAAGTAACTCAGGAATGGAAAACCAAACATTGTATGTTCACATTCATAAGTGGGAGCTAAGCTATGAGGATGCAAAAACATAAGAATGATACAATGGACTTTGGGGACTCAGGGAAAGGGTGGGAAGGGGATGAGAGATAAAAGACTACAAATAGCGTGCAGTGCATACTGCTTGGGTGATGGGTGCACCAAAATCTCACAAATCACCACCAAAGAACTTACTCATGTCACCAAACACCACCTGTTCCTCAATAACATATAAAAATGAATAAATACAAAGATATACATGTGGCTAACATATGAAAAATAGCTCAACATCACTGATCATTAGAGAAATGGAAATCAAAACCACAATGAGATATCATCTCACACCAGTTAGAATGGGTATTATTAAAAAGTTAAAAAACAACAGATGCTGGCAAGATTGCAGAGAAAAAGAAGTGCTTTTACACTGTTGGTGGAGTGTAAATTAGTTAAACCATTGTGGAAGACATCGTGGTGATTCCTCAAAGACAGGAGGCAGAAATACCATTTGACCGAGCAATCTCATTACCCAGAGGAATATAAATAATTCTATTATATAGATGTATTATGCATTATATAATACATTATATAGATGTATTATGCATTATATAATACATTATATAGATATGTATTATATAGATGTATATTTATTACATAAATCATTCTATTATAAAGATACATGCACGTTTATGTTCATGGCAGCACTATTCACAATAGCGAAGACATGGAATCAACCTAAATGCCCATCAATGATAGACTGGAGAAAGAAAATGTGGTACATATACGCCATGGAATACTATGCAGCTATAAAAAGGAAGGAGATTATGTCATTTGCAGAGACACAAATGGAGTTGGAAGCCATTATCCTCAGCAAACTAATGCGGGAACAGAAAGCCAAACACCATGTGTTCTCACTTACAAGTGGGAGCTGAACTTTGAGAACACATGGACACATCAAGGGGAACAACACACACTGGGGCCTCTCGAGGGGTGTAGGTGAGGGGAGGGCAAGCCCCAGGAAGAATAACTAATGGCTGCTGAGCTTAATCCCTAGGTGATGGGATGATCTGTGCAGCAAACCACCATGGCACATGTTTACCTATGTAACAAACCTGCACATCCTGCGCACATACACTGAACTTAAAAGTGGAAGAAAAAAATATATATATATATAAATGTATGGCCAAAAGAAAAAAAAAGGAAAGTCTCCATTTCCTCTAATACCTTCTGTTTCAATATTAACTGGAAAGTGAGAAATCTAAGTGCCCTTTGCTTATTGATCAACCTCATAATATTCAATGCAGTAAGTTGTGAGATTTCTCTGAGAATGTCTTTCTATTGGAAAAATAATGGAAATATTTTGTAAGCTGTATTATAATACAACTATCATGCAGGCAGAGGCATTGTATTTCCTGTTTGCTTTTGTATCTGTATCAAAATAGGATATCTGACCCATATAGACTCAAACGTGGTTAGTGAGTAAGTCAGTTGAATTAAATTTATTCAAGTGGCCAATTTCATATAGAACTTTTAAAGATTAATTTCATGTGTAAACAATAATACTTTAAGTGTAGTGATGATAATATCAATAATATTAATACTTGGAATTTACCTAATGACTTTATATTTTTAAATCATCCATTCATTAAAAAAAATGTATTGAGAATTTTCTAGGTATCAGGTCCTATTCAGTGCAATGGGAATAAAGCAGTAAATAAGAATTCATGCCCTCACATTCTCACATTCTGGTTGAAGAGGAGAAATATCTCTTACATCTCTAATCTAAATGTAAGTATGATTGTTTATAATCCATAGATGAGGAAAATGAATTTCGTATCTCTAAAAGGTCAATTTGCCAAACTTGTGGCACAAACCAGAAGTTACACGGCTTCAAGCATAGTAATTAATATATTTCTTATTCCTTCTCAGAGTTTGTGACACTTGATGAGGCTCCCTTCAAATGAGCAAGTATTGAAGTTCATGCCATGTGCCCAGCTCCTCCTGGATCTGTGAGGAAATATCTGAAACCTTCAAGATGTTGTACATGTCTTATGGAAAATGTTGCTCCATCATCCCTGCACTCCCTTATCTAGTATATCTACCTCCATAAGAAAACATAAGGACAGGCAATCTTCATAAAAATAGACTCCACCTATTTGGTTCATAGTTCTCTGAACCTAGAACAGGACAGAACTAACACTAGGTAAATATAATAAATATACATTAACTAAATGAATGAAAGAATCGCAAAGGTACTTCACATAGATAGTCTTCTACTCAAGCATTAAAATGTCTCTTACCAAGGCAGCTTCCATATTTGAAATAGTGCCTCTTTTTTCGGTTCAAAGAGCCATGAGTGGTTTTGTAGCATCAGGGGCTCAATATCCTTTATGTAATACTGAAACAACTCATTTATCCAGGGATCACTTTCTGGAACATCCATCAATTTAAACATAGACCAAAACTAGTCATCAAGAAGAAAGTGAATCTAACCACCAAGCATAATGTCCCTAGTTCATGCATGCTTTGATGTGCTAATACTTTATTCTTTGCATTTTTCTTAGATCCTCTTTCAAAGGACCAGCACTCTATTTATAATAATAACAACAACGACAGCAACATTAGGAATAGTAATGGCCACTACCCCTTCATTGGTACTTATGTATAATTTCTTATTTTGTCCTCCTACAAACCCTATGAGATGACTATAGTTATATGTCCATTTTATAATGAGGAAACTAAGGTTTAGAGAGTATTTTTTAAAGTCAAAGAGATAGTCTGTAGGGAAACAAGAATTTTAATGTTTTTCTATGTTTGTATTTCTCTAGAATATAATCTTTTCCTTCAAATATCTGATTTCATAACTCACAACAGCTAATAAATGGAGGGAGACATAGAATAAGGTGCACATACACACACACACGTACACATGCAAACACATGCACACACAAAAGCCACAAAACTAAAATGCATAGCACTTCTGGGTATTTTGTTGTAGAGGCAAACAACCCTTCATCCCTTGATGGCTCCTAGGATGTTAATGAAGATACATAAAGAAAATTCTGAATAATGAAGTAAAAGTGAAATTTCATTGATTCTTTTTGACTAAGGATAAATGAAAAAAAAATCTATATTTTTGAAAGACATCTAAGCAAGATTATTACAATTAAAAGGTTGGATACTTAAACTAAACTTAAGGTATCTGGAAAAACTGCTTATACTGAACAGCTCATTTGTGGCTGTAGTTGAAGTCACTATTACCACTATTACTTTATGTGTCTACTGTACACCCATGACATTTTAGCACAATATGCAAGGATTCAGAAATCTTATGGTGGGCATATGTATACAAGGTTAAGAGAAGAGATTAAAAATAATAAAGAGCAGCTGATTCTATCCTCAAGACTGAGTGAAACTCAACTTTAAATATCAATATTTAAATACCCAATCGTTTTAAGAACCAAATTCTTAGATATAATTTTTATTTCTACTGGGGCAGCTTGAACAGGTAAGTATTTCTTATTGAACAGTAGTAATAAAAGCAGGTTTTATTATTCTAGTCTCTCATTCTATTTACAACTCTTTGCTTGACCATAGATTGTATCACTAACAAAATCATTGGTGTTTAACATATAAGAATAATCAAAGTGAGTTTTGCCATCATGGCAAATAACTAAGGAAAGAGTAGAGAAAATGATGTCATTGCAAGTAAGCCCAGCAAAATTATTCCTGGTGGTTTGAGGACACACATTAAGCTTCCTTGTGCACTTTTCCCCTCTTTTTCTAAATAAATTTATTTGTGATATTGCCTTGCTAACTATATTGAGCACATTTACCAATTTACTACTTCCTTATGAATAAAATCCACTTTTTCTCCATTAGAAAGCTATCCCAGTTCCTTCACTCGGTCTATTTTTCCCAATTATCAGTGTATTTGAACTCTATTACTCTACTCGCACCAAGCCACAGCCTCTCACCCAGTCCATACAAGTCTACACTCTGGTAGGATGTTGCGGCTGAGCTGAGGAAGGACAGAGGTGGCATCACAGGTCCTGATATTTCCGATACAACCAACACTACTTCAGAGAAGAGTGACATCGATTTGCTGTCAACTGAAGGCAAATATTTGCTGTTATTTAAAAAAAGCATTTTCATTTTTAGGCAAACATATTTGCCTACTTCTTCAATTCCCACTACAATATCTTGGGCTTTCTGTAAGCCAGAACAAATTCAACCTTCCCTTATCTTTTCATGTGTCAGCTTTGTGTATGGAAGAAGGCAACTTTTCAAACATATCCTGAAATCACTGATATTTTGTCTCATTTTTTTCCTTAATTTTTTTAAACCAACATCTGTGATACCCTGATGTAACCATAATTACAAAATGGAAGATTAGTCAACGGCAAAATTGGAAAAAGAAGACATATTAACAGAAATAGAGAGATATTTCTCATGAAAAATATACATTTACAGCAAATAGGAATAAATATGTGGCTCCCTTATTGTATTAAGATAACACAGACCAGCCTTAAGTGCAGATAAAAAATGTAACTTCATGTCAAATGATTTTTTCTTTAACATGAGACGAGAAATGGACTTTTAATATTTGTTGTATTTTTTTTTTTTTTTTTTTTGCCCTTCAGGCTCTTTACTAAAGCTTTATTCTTTTTCAATACCTTCCACTTTTATTGTACTTAGTTTAGCATGGTTTATTACATTGTTTTGACTTCATTTGCTGTTTTTTTTTTTTTTTGCTTTGTTTTATTTTTGCCAGAGTTGAAGCTGGGCATTGTTCCACATTTAATCTGACAGACAGTCCTGGCAAGTTCTACGGTACTTAGCTAATTGCTCAAAGATGTACCATTGCACCCCATTCATGCCTTGTACATGTCTCCGCATGACTTTTAAGGAACAATCCAAACATACTCTCCTCGGAGCCGAAGGAGATTTTTCAGATCAATTTGGTCTTCTCTGGAATAAAATTACTTTTATCAGTAACCAAAGAAAAGACTTTCACAATTACACACTGTCCTTCAGTGCCGTATCCATTTATTATTTTTCCTTCGTTTGCAAACTGAGATATTGATTAAAACTCTGCAGTTGTAGATTTCTGTGGACTCTGTGCTTGTAAGGAAACACTCTGCAGCATGGGAGAGAATATGGCTCATCAGGAATCATAGCCTTACTACAAAAATCTGTCCAAGTTGCCACTTAAAGAAAATTACCATGTGCCTTTTTTAGTTCTCCAGAAGCAAAGCCTGAGATAAAGATTCATGGGCAAGTATTAGGTTGGTGCAAAAGTAACTGCAGTTTTGCCTTCACTTTTAGTGGCAAAAATTGCAATTATTTCTGCACCAACCTAAATAGTTTAAGGTAGCACTCCCAGGATAAAATGGTAAAAAAAAAAAATGGAGAAAGTAAGGGGAAGGGGAAGAAGTTAATAAGGTATGATTTCAGGCAAAGTCGAATCTCTAGCTGATTCTGTGGGGAACTCTGGAGTATAGTTTGCACCTCACAGTTTGTCAAAACTCAAAGCACAGGAGCTGGGCATTCTTGATCGATAAGTCAGCCACTGGCTACAATCTGCCCTGGAGGGGTGTGAGCTCTAAGGCATGCAGGAAAAGGTGGCTCTCCTAGCCAAGAGATAGATAGTTATGCGAACAGCATTGCAGATACAGGTCATTAGAAGCGAAGTTCACAGAAGCTGGAGACAAATGCATGAATATGATTAACGGATTCCAAGGGAAACTTAAAAGAGCATTGACTTCTACACCATGTCTACATCTCGACATATTTGCATATATTTTGTATGCTGTCATTCAGTGTTAAAATGTACTATGAATCTAGCTCAGTGTTGTCCAATAGAAATATAATGTGAGTCGAATGTGTAATTTTAAATGTTCTAGTAGCCACATTAAAAATGTAAAAAAAGTATATATATATATATTTCAATGATACATTTTATTTTATGCAGTATATCCAGACATGTAGTTAATAAAAAATATTGAGACATTTTATGTTCTGTTTTTGTACTTGATCTTCATAATCAAAGGTGTATTTTGTACTTATTGTACATCTTGATTTGGACTAGTCTCATCTCAAGTGTGTTCAATAGCTACATGTGGCTAGGGGCTATTGCATTGGACGGCACAGATCTAGCTGGTTTCTTGAGCTGTTATTTTGGGCATTTAGCAAGTGGTACAGTTAGAAAATTAATGTTTTATACTTACAATAAGTTGTTTCTATGCTATACTATATATGATATAATCTATAGTATAAACTGCACAGTTCTTGAACCATTTTACGTTTTCTGAAAATATCTTTCCTCCTTCCACAAGGGGGCCCCTTATGGCTACTCTTGTACAATGTGACTGTCCAGTTGGACACAACCGATTAATCAAGATAGACCTGACCCAAGCTGGGCCAATCATATTCACTTTCTTAAAGGATTGGGTACATTCCCAGTGGCTTTACAGATTCTGATTCCAGCACTCTCTGAAGCTTGGCTTAATTTCTGCCCTTGGTTTTGGTGAAATATGACTGTAAAAATAAAACAATTCTTTATTAAGTTGCTTGCAAGTGAAAGAATCCTAACTAATAATGAAAATAGGTACCGGAAGTTCAGAGACACTGTCAATCTGACTGCATCAAGGAAAAGGACAATGAATCTTGCCCATGCTGGACTGGGAAGACAATAGGCCCTAAAATGACATTCATGTTCACTGTCTTGAAACCTAGACCAGTAGAACTTGATCAGAATTTAGGAGAATTGGATACAAAACTTAAAGATGTCATATCACGGCATGTAATTCCTCTTTGGAAACTCCGGAAAAGTGCAGCAGGACAAGGAAACGGGATAATCTAGTGGGAAGGAGATACCGAAAATTCATGTTTATGTCTTTTTTACCCTAGAGATTATTCTTGACATGGTAGCCATAATGATTCTTTTAAAATCTAAGTCAAATCATGTCACTCTCCTTTTCAAAATATTCTAATGATTCCTGAGCAAGAGATCACTCAGCAAAAGTGTGAGATAGCTAAAGTCCTTAAAATGACTCATAGTGGGCAACAGCATCTGGCTTCTAAAAATCCCTCTGATTATTTCTTACTATGTCTCTCCTTGCTCATTCCACACAGTACCTTTCTTGTGGTTCATATATGTCAAGTCCCACTTTGAAGCCTTTGCACTGACTGAACCTTTATCTGAACCACTCTTTGCTTACTTCCTTCAAGATATTTGATATATTTCTTAAATGTCACCTCTCCATAAAGACTACCCTCATCAATCATTTTCTTAAAATTATAACCCTTTCTCTTTGGCATCACTACCAAAATCTTCTAACCTTACTATATGGTTTAAAAACTAATATCCCATATAGCCTATATTTGCATATTATATAATATATATTCATAATGTGCATTTATTAAGTCTATTTATTTACATACTTTTTAAAAATTCCTCTACCACTAAAATATAAGCTCCATGAGGTCAGGGATTTTCTTTTTCCATTTATGTATACCACTAATGAACAAAATGATATACACTTAAATGACAACACATATATATATGTGTTCAAGAACTGTGCGGTTTATGCTATAGATTATACCATATATAGTATAGTGTAGAAACAACTTATTTTAAGTATAAAACATTAATTTTTCTGACTGAACCACTTGGTAAATGCCCAAGTAACAGCTCAAGAAACCAGCTAGATCTGTGTGCTGTCCAATGCAACAGCCCCTAGCCACATGTATATGTATATATATATGTGTATATAGCCACATGTATATGTATATGTATACATATATATACATGTATACATGTATACATACATATACATGTATACATGTATACATACATATATACATGTATACATACATGTATACATACATATATACATGTATACATGTATACATACATGTATACATACATATATACATGTATACATACATATATGTATACATACATATATACATGTATACATGTATACATACCTATATATACATGTATACATACATATATACATGTATACATACATATGTATAAATGTATACATACATAATATATATATACAGATACATGTGTATATACATATATGTATATACAGATACATGTGTATATACGTATATCTATACATATAGATATATGTATACGTATATATACGTATATACGTGTATATACACGTATATGTACATATACGCGTGTATATATACACGTACGTATATGTATATATACGTACGTGTATATATACCTGTATATATACACGTACGTATATGTACATATACGTACGTGTATATATACCTGTATATATATGTATATATGTATATATTTAATATATAAACTATGTGTATATATACACATATATAATATACATATACGTATATAAGTATATATATACATATACTTATATACGTATATGTATATATATGTGTATATATATGTATATACATAGAGTTTATATGTTGAGTAAATTAATCAATGGATGAATAATGAACACATACTGCCAAAATTAATTATCTGAGGATCCAAACAAATACATTTATTGGGCACATTGCTACACTGCAGGGACAAAATTATTTTTAGTCTTCTTTCTGCTGGTAAGATTGGCACACTAATTATGAAAATGTAGGGTCTTCTCATTAGAATGGAGATATGTAAAAGGAATCGAACGTATTCAAGTCTAGCAACAGCATGCCCACAAATCCCTTCAGGACACCTTCTCCTGGATTTCACCTTTGAATTTGTAAAAGTTCATGTTGTTGCCTATTGCAAAGTGCAGTCCAGGAGCAGGAAAGAATTGCAGGGGTTTTGTTTCATATTTCATCTCTATTGCTCTTTTGTTATCTACTAGTAATGTCCAGAAAACAAATAAGTAAAAATAGAGATGATGTCAGCAGAAGTAGGGGAGTAGGCAACTCTAACAATTCATTCTTCAAACAGAAACAGAAAAATCAAGCAAAGTTGTCAGAATCAACTGTCAGAATCCTGAAAATCATAAAAGAATTACAATAACCAAGCAAATGCTGAATCAAGAAAAAGACCATTTAAAAATGGTAGAAAAGTTATGTAGCATTTTTACTTGCCCTTGCTCTACCCCTTCTCCAGTTTGGCAGTGATTTTGAAGACAGCAGCCCACTTTCCCAGAACCTCATTTCCTGATTCTGGAGGGAGTATTACACACCTCATTTGCAAAGAATTATGTTTGTTCTAATCTGTCTGTCTGGGGGCTGCTGGAAGAACTGACACAAGTTGCTTGTCATTGTTTTGTCTGATCTGGAACTCACACAGGGTGGAAAAACAGCATGCAATCCTTGAGAACCTTGTAAATCAACTGAAGAAGCCAAAATCACCTGAGGCAAAAGATTATGGCTGAAGCATACAGGAGAATACCCAAAGCATGGGTGAAAACATAAGAAGAGAGATTCTTTGGGAAAGTAGGCTACTCAAAGACACCTGTGTATACTGAAAGATTTAGAAAGGTACACATATGCCCACGACATGATACATGCTCAGAAAAGACCTGGGAAAGCCCTAAGCTTTCACTTAGGGCTAATCTCTAGGCTTGGAACAAGCAGGAAGCGAAAACTAAGGCTAAACATCGAAGGAGTGACCCAGCACATAGCCAATCTGCAAATAACACAGGGGCTATTCCTTTTGAAGGGGTAATATAACACCACTACTTGTTTCTTTCTTTGCCATAAAAGACACAGATTTGCAGTCTGTTTTCTTTTTAAGATTGTGAACTAAGAATCATTAACACAAAGTAATAGCTTCAAACATAAGCTTCAAAACATGGAAGACAGAGGTGGGAGAATAGTACATTCTTTTTGCAGAATAAAGTGAAATTAATCTGATGTTGGAAGGCTGAGCTGTTACTCAGCCTATCCTGCAAAGGCCAGGATAAATAGATTATTATTATTATTAAAATTTGTTTCCTCCTCTTTTTTTGTCAATTTTCTTATTTTGGAGGTTGACGTTCCTGGCATGTAAGGAAGTATCTGCCAAAATACTTGCTGAATACAAACTAAATGAACAGAGACTTTGGAGATCACACGTGAAGAAGACTATACAGTACAAAATTAGTTCAGCAAAATTACTAAACCAATGGCTACAGCCTATAACAAGCAACTAATACAATTGCAGAGGATAGGGAAAAGTCTGATTTCCAGAGTTATCACACTCTAGTATTAAAAATGTTTGTTTTCAAAATTATGAAGCACGAAACAAAACAAGAAAGTGTGGTCTATTCACAGAAGAAATTTATAGGAACGGTTCCTGAGAAAGCAGACATTAATTTACTAGACAAATAACTGTAATTCAACTACCTTAAAGAGCTACAGGAAACCAGAATAATTACATATGAATAAATAAAAAATATAAATAAAGAGAAACTATAAAAAACAGAAATTTTAAAGCTGAAGATATAATAACTGAAGCAAAAAACTCACTAAAGGATACCAATAGCAGATTTGAGCAAACAGAAAAGATAATCAGAGAAAATGTGGGTAGAACCATTTAAAATATTCAGTCTGAGGAACAGAAGAAAAATAGAAATGAAGAAAAAGGAACAGAGCCTAAAGGTTTTGTGGGACACCATTAGGCATAAAAACATACACATAATGAGAATCCCAGAAGGAGATGAAAGGGAAATAGGAGAGAAAATAATATTTGAAGAAACTCTAAAATTTGATAAAAGACATATCTACACATTCAAGAATCTCATTCTCAGATAAACAAAAGCTGAAGGAGTTCATTGCTGGTAGAACTGCCCTACAAGAAATCCTAATTAGAATCCTTTGGCTCAAATTAAAGAATATCAGACAGAAAATCAAAGCTATATGCATAAATGATAAATCCTGGTAAAGATAATTACATAAGGATAAAAGCTGATATTATTGTATTTTTAGTTTTTGTTAACTTTATTTTTTATATGATTTAAATGCATAAAACAATATAAATCTATGTTAATGGATACATCCTATATAAAGATGCAACTTGCCACAAAAATAACATAAATTGGGGGGAGGGAGGAGCTGTATTAAAGCATAGTTTTTATGGAAACTTTGAATCTATATTTGTATCATTCAGACTAATTTCTGAGTGGAACCACTCAGAAAATATCTTTTAAGATACACACAGATGGCAATGAGAAAAAAATTAAAGTGGCATACTGCATACATATACATATACACATACATATATACACACATATATTTTTCAGACATTGGACAACAGGTAGGATAAGACTGTGATCCCTAAGAAAATGGAAATTAAAGAGCTGGTCTAAATCACTATCCCAGTTTTCTGCCTAGAGTCCATTAGCAAAGGAAGAAGAAATTTAATCAGAGCCTGAAGGTTTTGCTGATAAGAGAAGACAGAGAAAAAATCTTGGAAAGTCAGGGGTAACTAGAATAGGTGAAAGAAGAGCACCAGAGAACAAAGGATTACTCACAGGGAGAGCCACAGAAATCTGCAGGGGCCCTTTTGAGTCTCCGGCTAAATATTACTCTCTACAGGGAAAGAGTAATCTTCTATGAAACCTAAAAAGAACAATTGCCGGGAAACTATGTGCTAACAACTTCCAGATTTCTTACAGGGCTGGGAGACATTCAAGTTCCTAATAGCCACAGTGAGTGAGATGGGTTGGCCCTGTGTCCCCACCTAACTCTCTTCTCAAACTGTATTGAGGAAGGACCTGACAGGGGAGGGAGGGGTGATTGGATCATGGGGGTGGATTCCTTCATGCTGTTCTCGTGATAGCCAGTGAGTTCTCACGAGATCTGTTGGGTGTATGAGTGTTTGGCAGTTCCTCCTTTGCTTGCACTGTCTTTTCCTGCTGCCTTGTAAAGAAGGTGTCTGCTTCCTTTTCACCTTCTGCCATGATTGTAAGTTTCCTGAGACCTCCCCAGCCATGCGAAACTGTGAGTCAATTAAAACCTCTTTCCTTTATAAATTACTCAGTCTTGGGTATTTCTTTATAGCAGTTTGAAAACGGATGAATACAGTGAGAGACACTGAATTCTGAGCACATTCAGTAGAGATCCAAGTAGGTTACTGAAGCAGTGAGTCTAAACTAGCCTTGGAACAAAGGCTAATCTATATCCACATTAACAAAAGTTAAACACAAGCCTTAGAAATGACAAGCTGATCCAAAAGAAATTTAGCTGTCAAAACAAACTGCTGTGCTCTTCAAAGGTAGACAACAAAATCCAAATACTCAACAATGTAACATTCATAATACTAGACATCCAATAAAAAATATTAGATGAGTGAAGAGCCAGGAAAATGTGAACTATTATTACCAGAAGAAAAATCAGTCAACAGAAACAGATTTAAACACAACTGATGACTGAAATAGCATGTAAGCACTTTCAAAATGCTGTTATATGTTCAAAAATTAAGAGGAGAATAAGAAGGAAATTATGAGTAAACAAGTGAACAACATTTTTGTTAAAACTCCAGAGCTTAAAAATACGTTATCTGAAATTAAAAGTTCAGCAAGAGATGGAATTAGCAAAAAATAAACACTGCAGAGAAAAAGACCAGTCAACTTGAAAACAGAGCAGAGGAAACTCAAGCGCACAGAGGGAAGAAACACTGAAAAAGTGACCACAACAGCAGTGAACTGCAGACATTATTGAGGTCTAACATGCTTAATTGGATTCTTAGAAAAGAAGCAGAATGGACAGGAAAATATTAGAGAAATTATTTAAAAACTTCAAATTTGTGAAAATTATGTATTTCTTTATTCAAGAAGCCTCACAAATCCTGAGGAAGAAAAATGAAAAAATGTGACACCAAAGCAAATCATTACCGAATTTCTTAAGTCAGTAATAAAAAGAAAATAAAAACAGCCAGAGTGGGGGAAAGCCATATTTTGTATAGGAAAACAAAAATAAAAATGAATGTAGGCATCTTGTCAGAAACAAAGCAAGCCAGATGATAAAGGACCAGCAACCTTTATGTATTGGAAGGAAAAATAATTGCGAAGACAAAATTCTGTAGATAATGAAAATATTCTTCAAAAATGAACACGAAATGATGACGTTTTCTGACAAAAGCACTGCCAGCAGACCTGTAGTCAAGAAATGTTTAGAGCAGTTCTTCATACCAAAGAAAAATTATACCACATGAAAACTTGGACATATAGAAAACAATAGAGTGTTAGAAATGGTAGTATGTGGGTCGATATAAAAGTCTATTTCATGTTTAAAAAATTTATTTAATATTTTAACATATAAAGTAAAAATAATAACTATGTGTCGTGAGGTTCCTAACATATAGAAATGAAAGGTATGCTAACAATAGCACAAAGGTCAGGTGGGAAATACAGAAGCATACTGTTGTATGTTTCTTACATGCTGTAGGATGTTGTATAATATTTTTACAGGTAGCAGGTAATAAGTTAAAAATGGATTTTTAGATCATAGAGCAATCACTATAAAATTAAATTAAAAATCAGATAAATCTAATAAGCCAAGAGTGGACGTAAGTTGGAATAGAAAAATATATTCAGGTAACACAAAATTATTCAGTAAAAGAGGAGAAAAGGACTAAATTATAAATGATGAGAGAATAAAAAAGAAATAGCATGATAATCAATTGAAATCTAGTCATATTAATATTTACATTAAATATAAAGAGTTTAAATACTTTAATCAAAATATTGAGATTATCTGACTAGATATGAAAAAGTCACTGCTATAGTGATCTCTATAAGAAACCAACTTTAACAGTATGGTACTGGTAAAATATAAACACTTAGATCAATAAAACAATAGTTTATTGAGTGTGACAAAGATGCCAATGCAATTAGATAGAGAATAGAATCAAACATGGTGCTGGAGAAATTAGCTATCCAAATGCCTTCTTGTATCTTTACACTAGCCTAGACACTAGCTGAATGTAGTCAAGTGAATGACCCAAGCCAAAACCTTATAAAATAATAGAATTGTCAAACTGAACCCTGTGCAAATTTCTGATGCACAGGGTATGAGAAAATAAACTAGTGTTGTTTTAAGTCACTATGTTTTGGAGCTCTCTGTTATGCAGTAATAGATATCTAAAACTTAAATTGTTACCTATACATGAGGTGCTGCCATAACAAATATCGAATATATGTGACATTGCCATTGGGATTTAGTGGAGAATAGGTACTTAAAGGGCAATAAGAAGCCTGCTACTGGGTGCTAGAAAGGCATGAGTAAATTTGCTATGGTTTGAATGTGTCTCCCAGTTTTCATGTGTTGGAAGCTTAATCCCCAATGTGGCTGTATTGAAGGGTGGAATCTTTTAAGAGGTGATTGTATCATGAGGGTCCTGACCTCATGAATAGATTAATCCACTTATGGATTAATGGGTTATCATGGGAAACAAACTGGTAGCTTCATAAGAAGAGAAACAGAGACCTGAAATAGTACACTCAGCCGCCCATCATGTGACATCCTGTGCTGCCTTTGGATTCTTCAGAAAGTCCCGATCAACAAGAAGACTCTCACTAGATGCAGTCCCTCAATCTCAGAATTCTCAGCCTCTGTAACTATAAAAAATATACTTCTTTTCTTTACATATTACCCAGTTTCAGGTATTCTGTTATAAGCAACAGAAAATGAACTAGTACAGAATTGTAAATAAAGGTTGGAGGAAAGATGGTTCGTGTTATGTAATGGCAGAATATTTGGAAACACTGTCATCTTAGGTGACTTAGAACAGGGATCCCTGACCCCCAGGCTGTGGACTGGTACTGGTCTGTGGCCTGTTAGGAACTGGGCCACACAGCAGGAGGTGAGCAGAGGGCAAGCAAGCATTCCTGCTTGAGCTCTGCCTCCTGTCAAATCAGCCAGGGCATTGGATTCTCATAGGAGCACAAAGCCTATTGTGAACTGCACATGCGAGGGAACCAGGTTGCAAGCTCCTTATGAGAATCTAATGCCTAAGAATCTGAGGTGGAACAGTTTCACCACAAAACTATGTCCCACCACCACCCCATCCATGGAAAAATTGTCTTTCATGAAATCAGTCCCTGGTGCCAAAAAGGTTGGGGACCATGGACTTAGAAGACAGAAAACTTACCCCGGATTCCTCCTAAGCCGTGTCCCATCTGTGCAGGACCCCACTGAAAATCGGACTGTTCAACTCACCTGGCAGCCACTTCCAGAGCCCCTGGAACTCTGGCCCAAGGCTCTCTGACTGACACCTTCCCAGATCTTCTAGGCTTAGCAGCTGAAGACTGACACTGCCCGATTGCCTCGGAAGCCTGCAGGACCATCACAGATGCTCTGGGTAACTCTCACAGTGGAGGGTAAGTCTGTCCCTGTCTTAATCAATATGGAGGCTACCCACTCCACATTACCTTCTTTTCAAGGGCCTGTTTCCCTTGCCTCCATAACTGTTGTGGGTATTGACGGCCAGTTTTCTAAACCTCTTAAAACTCCCCACTCTGGTGCCAGCTTAGACAATACTCTTTTAAGCACTCGTTTTTAGTTATCCCCACCTGCCCAGTTCCCTTATTAGGCTGAGACACTTTAACTAAATTATCTGCTTCCCTGACTATTCCTGGGCTACAGCCACACCTCATTGCCACCTTTTCGCCCAGTTCAAAGCCTCTTTCACATCCTCCCCTTGTATCTCCCCACCTTAACCCACAAGTGTAGGACATCTCTACTCCCTCCTTAGCGATCAATCATGCACCCCTTACCATCCCATTAAAACCTAATCACCCTTACCTTGCTCAACACCAATATCCCATCCCACAGCACGCTTTAAAAGGATTAAAGTCTGTTATCACTCGCCTGCTACAGCATGGCCTTTTAAAGCCTATAAACTCCCCTTACAATTCCCCCATTTTACCTGTCCTAAAACCAGACAAGGCTTACGGCTTATTTCAGGATCTGCACCTTATCAACCAAATTGTTTTGCCTATCCACATGGTGGTGCCAAACCCATATACTCTCCTATCCTCAATACCTCCCTCCACAACCCATTATTCTGTTCTAGATCTCAAACATGCTTTCTTTACTACTCCTTTGCACCCTTCATCCCAGCCTCTCTTCACTTTCACTTGGACTGACCCTGACACCCATCGGGCTCAGCAAATTACCTGGGCTGTACTGCCACAAGGCTTCACGGACAGCCCCCATTAGTTCAGTCAAGCCCAAATTTCTTCCTCATCTGTTACCTATCTTGGCATAATTCTCATAAAAACACACGTGCTCTCCCTGCCTATCATGTCCAACTGATCTCTCAAACCCCAGCACCTTCTACAAAACAACAACTCCTTTGCTTCCTAAGCATGGTTGGATACTTTCGACTTTAGATACCTGGTTTTGCCATCCTAACAAAACCATTATATAAACTCACAAAAGGAGACCTAGCTGACCCCATAGATCCTAAATCCTTTCCCCACTCCTCTTTCTGTTCCTTGAAGACAGCTTTAGAGACTGCCCCCACCCTAGCTCTCCCTGACTCATCCCAACCCTTTTCATTACCCACAGCTGAAGTGCAGGGCTGTGCAGTCAGAATTCTTACACAAGAACCGGGACCATGCCCTGTAGCCTTTTTATCCAAACAATTTGACCTTACCGTTTTGCCTAGCCCTCAAGTTGGCATGTGGTGGCCACCACCACCCTGATACTTTTAGAGGCCCTTAAAATCACAAACTATGCTCAACTCACTCTCTACAGTTCTTATAACTTCCAAAATCTATTTTCTTCCTCACACCTGATGCATATACTTTCTGCTCCCTGGCTCCTTCAGCTGTACTCACTCTTTGTTGAATCTCCCACAGTTACCATTGTTCCTGGCCTGGACTTCAATCTGCCCTCCCACATTATTCCTGATACCACACCTGACCCCCATGACTGTATCTCTCTGATCCACCTGACATTCACCCCATTTCCCCATATTTCCTTCTTTCCTGTTCCTCACCCTGATCACACTTGGTTTATTGATGGCAGTTCCGCCCGGCCTAATTGCCACACACCAGCTAAGGCAGGCTATGCTATAGTACAAGCCACTAGCCTGCCTCTTAGAACCTCTCATTTCCTTTCCATCATGGAAATCTATCCTCAAGGAAATAACTTCTCAGTGTTCCATCTGCTATTCTACTACTTCTCAGGAATTATTCAGGACCCCTCCCTTCCCTACACATCAAGCTCGGCGATTTGCCCCCGCCCAAGACTGGCAAATTGGCTTTACTCAACTAAAATACCTCTTGGTCTGGGTAGACACTTTCACTGGATAGGTAGAGGCCTTTCCCACAGGGTCTAAGAAGGCCACCGCGGTCATTTCTTCCCTCTGTCAGACATAATTCCTCGGTTTGGCCTTCCCACCTCTATACAGTCCTAGAAGGACTTTATTAGTCAAAGCACCCAAGCAATTGCTCAGGCTCTTAGTATTCAGTGAACTAATGGTCTTTTAAAAACACACCTCACCAAGCTCAGCCACCAACATAAAAAGGACTGGACAATACTTCTACCACTTGTCCTTCTCAGAATTCGGGCCTGTCATCGGAATGCTACAAGGTACAGCCCATTTGAGCTCCTGTAATGGATGCTCCTTTTTATTAAGTCTCAGTCTCATTCCAGACACCAGATCAACTTGGACTGTGCCCCTGCCGCCCCCCCCCCAAAAAAAAAAAACAACTTGCCATCCCTACTATCTTCTGTCTAGTCATACTCCTATTCACCATTCTCAACTACTCATAAATGCCCTGCTCTTGTTTACACTGCCGGTTTACACTGTTTCTCCAAGCCATCACAGCTGATATCTCCTGGTGCTATCCCCAAACTGCCACTCTTTACTCCCTCTTAAAATAAATAAATAATCTTTGCTGGCAGGGCTATGCTGAATCTCCTTAGGCACTCTCTAATTTGATATCCTAGGTCCTCCCAATTCTTAGTCCTTTAATATCTGTTTTTCTCCTTGTCTTATTCCGTTCTTTTTTCAATTCATACAAAACCGTATCCAGGCCATCACCAATAATTCTATGCAACAAATATTTCTTATAACAATCCCACAATATCACCCCTTACCACAAAATCTTCCTTCAGCTTAATTTCTCCCACTCTCAGTTCCCACACCGCCCCTAATCTCGCTCATAGCAGCCCTGAGAAACATCTCCCATTATCTCTCCATACCACCCCCAAAATTTTTGCCGCCCCAACACTTCAACACTATTATATTTTTCTTATTAATATAAAAAGACAGGAATGTCAGGCCTCTGAGCCCAAGCTAAGCCATCATATCCCCTGTCACCTGCACCTATACATCCAGATGGCCTGAAGTAACTGAAGAATCACAAAAGACGTGATATTTAAATGGCCTGTTCCTGCCTTAACTGATGACATTCCACCACAAAAGAAGTGAAAATGGCCAGTCCTTGCCTTAACTGATGACATTACCTTGTGAAATTCCTTTTCCTGGCTCAAAAAACTCTCCCACTGAACACCTTGTGACCCCCACTCCTGCCTGCCAGAGAACAACCCCCCTTTTTCCTTTACCTACCCAATTCTTATAAAACGGCCCCACCCCTATCTCCCCTTCGCTGACTCTCTTTTCCGACTCAGCCCGCCTGCACCCAGGTGAAATAAACAGCCTTGTTTCTCAAAAAAAAAAAAAAAAAGGAAAATTTACTCAGTGAGTTTGTACCTCTAGCTAAGGAGATGTCTAGGTTGAATGGTATGAGTGCCAGTTATGTTTGTCTGTTTCATAATATACAGCTAGAGATGAACTAAGAGATAAGCTGTTCAGTTTTCAAGTATTAATAGAAGCTAGAGAAAATAAAACCCACATTTGAATTTGATAGTATGGAAAATTAAACGCTTTTCATAGGCAGCTTCTCCAGAAAATAAAGATTCTCAAAATAAGAATTGGCCTCAGGGCAAGGACCAAATCTAGGGTTCTGTCAGTAAAAGATGGCCTCAGGGTCAGGTCAAAATCAAATGAGAAATGCAACTGCAAATCCTGTGACAGGACCTCAGAAGAGTTTAATGGGGTGCCTTATGAACTCAGGCCAAAAGACTTCTAAGAATCTGAAGGGCATTGTATCACAGCAGCCCAAAGTAGAGTGTGATTTCTTTTGAAGATATGTGAAGGTGTGGTTTTTGTCTGATGAAGTAAACACCGATATGACTCATAGAAAACTTACAAAGTTTGTAAATGTAATTATATTGATGGAAGCACTAGCAGCTTGAACTAAAAGGACCAAGGACAGTTCAAAATAATAACAGGCTTCTGGACACCTACAGACAGGCGGTAGGATGAGAAAACCACTTAGGTACAAAACACATGCCAATTTGATTTTAAAAGGATGATGCCAAGAGCACAGCCAACACACACACACACACACACACACACACACACACACACACACACACACATTTTCCAAGGACTAAAATTGAGCCTTAATCAAGGAATATTTTTTCACCCTGGAATAAGAAAATTGATGATATGTGCCCTGGTAGATGAGAGAATTTCTGCAAGCCAGTGACTGAAATGCATCTTTTTTATTTTTTAAATTACTTTTTGCATGGTCTTGTCCATTGCAGTTATTCTACTTCTATGTCTGCTTCTGTGTTATACCCTGGGGTGTGTAAGATCACTTTACAGGCCTTTAGATTGAGAAGATGTATACTCATTCGGTTGACCCTGAGGAAAAACAGACAATGAACCTCATCCACGTTGGGTCTGATTTAGAAGACAATATCCTAGACCTCAAACCCAAGCATAACATTAAAATGGGGTCATACTTTTTGCTTTTGTGGGGTAGGGAGTGAGAATATTTTTCATCTGGGAAGAATGTGAATCATTATAAACCAGATTATGTTACATTGTCACCTTGATGGTCCCCAATAAATCCTGGCTGCTGAGATTCATGCCCTTTTCCATTTTTCTTCAGCAGGACCTGGACTAGAGTGAGACCACGTAGGTGCCTATGGCACAGAATATAAGTGAGATCCATGTACACAGATCCACTTACTCAGAGATGTGTCCAAGGAACCTTATTTGCCTCACCCTAATCCTGACCCTTCTCTGGAATCTGTTCTCAGCCTGCGATTTGTTTTAACAAATAGAATGTGTTGGAAGTGACGCTGTGCTAGTTCTGGGTCTAAGTCTTATGAATGCCTGGAAGCCACTATTTTGTGCTCTTGGGAATCTTCAGTCTTCTAAGAAGTCCAGTCATACTACTGTTGAGAGCACATGGAGATACAGAGTGGACACTTCATGTGGAATGGGAGAAGCTCTGAGACTACAGGAGCAGAGGAAGATGCCCAGCCTTACTGGCATCCCAGCGCCCAGACGACCTGCCAGCTGAATGCAGTCATAGGAGTGATCACTGGCAAGACCAGCTGAGCCCAGCTCACAAACTAGAATCGTGGGCAAATTAAATGGTTGTTGTTTAAAGCCACTAAGTTTTAGTGTGTTTGTTAGGTAGCAATAGGA